>NC_000013.11:84674572-84827413 GCF_000001405.40 Homo sapiens | reverse complement strand
TGATTGTGTACATTTGGTGATTTATATTATAATTCTGAATGTTATACATCTATTCACGAGATACTTTTCACTTTTTAAATTTAATTACAAAGTATATATTAAGGATAATATGAGCATCATGCTTCTAAATCTTATTAGAACACTTTCATGTGTAAATAATGGAGTACAATATTTGTCGAAAAAAGAAAAAAAATTGATATGCATGTACATATTTGTCTGTGATTTTCCCTAGATACATTTATTCCCAATTATTTATAAGAGCTTCTTGTCCCTCTGTGGTTATCCAGGAAATACTAGACTTCAGAGGATTTGACACTTGTTTTGCTTTGATCATCTTTTCATCCAGGGGAAAATAAGTTGCTCTGAACTCTTTCAGTACAGACTCCTATAACTCAATCTTATATCCTCAATTCAAATTAAATGTCTCTGTTTTGTGTAATGTAAGATTTCTCAAGAAAAAAGGATGAGAGGCAGAACTCTTCTAAGACTTCAAAACCATGCTTTTTCATTGGAACATGGACGTCAAAAGTGGTTCAAACTGTAAACATAAAATAGAATTTATGGAGAAGACTTTCAAGCAGAGAAATAGCAGACCTTAAAAAATACCTTGAGTTCTCACTCCACACAGAGGCTTACTTACGTGCAGCTTAACTGAACTAGATATCCATCAAAGGTTCCAGGAAGAACTATCTATTGGCTGTACTTGGGAAAAGGAAGAAGGACTAATAAGCAATCATGTAACAAATAACAGAGCTTTCTGACTGATCCAGCTCCTTGAACTACTGAAAGCAGGCAGGAAATGTGCCTCAACAGTTATCAGAATTTCGCTGGTCAGTTTAGAAGCAATCTGATGCCTCCTCCTTTTTTAGTAAATTTTACAGGGAATGACACAATTACAAAACAGTTTCAAAATATTTGTTTACCCATTAATGTTTTTCCTCAATTTGCTTTAAAACTGCATTTTCAGTGTACATGACAACTATTTAATAAGGAATGGGGAAAAGACTCCCTATTCAATAAATGGTGCTGGAATAACTATCTAGCCATATTCGTAAGAATGAAACTGGACTTCTACCATTAACCGTATACTAAAATTAACTCAAAATGGATTAAAGAGTTAAATATAAGACCTCGAACTATAAAAATTCTGAAAGAAAACCTAGGAAAATCATCCTAGACATCAGCCTTCGGAAAGAATTTGTAACTAAGTCCTCAGAAGCAATTGCAACAAAACCAAATATTGACAAGTGAGACCTAATTAAACTAAAGAGCTTCTGCAGAGCAGGAGAAGCTATCAAGGGAGTAAACAGACAACCTACAAAATGAGAGAAAAAAATTCACAAGCCACGTATCCAACAAAGGTCTAAGATCCAGAATCTATAAAAAACTTAATTCAACAAACAAAAAACAAATTATCCCATTAAAAAGTGGGCAAAAGGCCGGGTGCAGTGGCTCATACCTGTAATCCCAGCACTTTGGAAGGCCGAGGCGGGCAGGTCATGAAGTCAAGAGAGCGAGACCATCCTGGCCAACATGGTGAAACCCTGTCTCTACTAAAAACACAAAAATTAGCTCAGCATGGTGGTGCACACCTGTAGTCCCAGCTACTCAGGAGGCTGAGGCAGGAGAATTGCTTGAACCTGGGAGGTGGAGGTTGCAGTGTACCGACATTGAGCCACTGCACTCCAGCCTGGGCAACAGAGTGAGACTCCATCTCAAAAAAAAAAAAAAAAAAAGTGGGCAAAAGATATGAGCGAACACTTCTGAAAAGAAGACATACATGCAGCCAACCAACATACATACAAAAAAATGCTCAACATCACTAATTATCAGAGAAATGCAAATCAAAACCGCAAGGAGATACTGTCTCACACTAGTCAGAATGGCTATTAATAAAAAAAAAAAAAGATACTGGTGGGGCTGCAGAGAAAAGGGAATGCTTATATACTGTTGGTGGGAATGTAAATTAGTTCAGCCCTGTGGAAAGCAGTTTAGAGATTGCTCAAAGAACTTAAAACAGAGCTATCATTCAATGCAGCAATCCCATTACTGGGTATACACCCAGCAGAAAATAAATTATTTTACCAACAAGACACATGGACTCGTATGTTCATCACTGCACTATTCACAATAACAAATACATAGAATCAACCCAGGTGCCCATCAATGGTAGATTTGATAAAGAAAATATAGTACACACACACCATGGAATACTACACAGACATTAAAAAGAAAAAAACCATGCCTTTTGCAGCAACGTAGATGCAGCTGAAAGTCATTATCCTAAGAGAATTACACAGAAACAGAATACCAAATACTGCATGTTCTCACTTATAAGTGGAAGCTAAGCATTGGGTACACATGAACACAAAGATGGGAATAATAGACATTGAGGACTACTAGACGGGAAGAGGGGAAAATGGCCAAAAAACTATCTACTGGGTACCGTGCACAGTATCTGGTGACAGGATTATTTGTAACCAAACCTCAGCATCACACAATATGCTCATATAACCTATACATGTACCCCTTGAATCTAAAATAAAAGCTGAAATTATTTTTAAAAATAATTTCAGTATCTACTGCTTAAGAGTGCTATATCTATACTTAGAATATGTATAAATAAATTACTTATTGGAAGTTATTTATTACAAAGTCTTTTCTAAAGTCTAAATGATGCTAACATCATTTAGATTTAATTTCCTGCCATTTAGGCATATTGAAAAAACATATTTTTGTTTTGTTTTGTTTCACACTGTTTCATATGGTTCGGTTACTTCATCCTGCAGCCAGAGTGATTTAATTAAGTCATAACTTAAGGCCAAACAGAAAAAGCTAAATACCCTTTCTTAAAGCCTATAATGGTTTTTATTATACAATTTCAATATGTATAAAAGGAAGAAATTTTATCTTTTAAAACTATAAATACTTACCTTGAAAGATAGACATTAATATAAAACTTGTGTGTAGGTATATAATTTTGCAAAACTCTTTAACGCATATGTGAACATATAATGTAGACTACTGTTATTAATTATATGTTGAGGTATAAATATCTTCCAGATTACTAGATAATGCAAAATTCTTTTTACAGTGTTATCGTAATAAGTTACACTCCTGTAAATCTGGTATGTTTCACTTGAGGAACTGCCAGACTGGTTTACTGAGTGCCTGCACCATTTTACATTACTACTAACAATGCATGAGGACTCCATTTTTCAAGTATTCTTGCGAGTCAACACTTTTTATTTTCTGCATTTTGGATTATACCCCCAATTTTGTTTTCATTGCCTCAAGGAGCTGCAAAGCTCAACAACTGCCTTTAGCTAATTTTGATCAATGAACCCAAGGAAAAGTTTTTTCACACTGAGTGAGCCTTTCTCTCTGAGCTGCATATTCTGTCCCCTGTACTCCACGTAAAATACAGAGCAGAAATTTGCCTGACAATGTAAAATACTTCAGGGTAAAAGTGACTTTACTTTTTTGTTTTATATCTCCACTCACTTTTGGCCTACGGTTTTCATTTTGTCTTCTTAGATTTGTAATGCTTTGAAGATGATATATCTCATGTATATTTTACAGTGTAGTGATTTGAATTCAACCTTGACTTTATTTCAAATGTGTAGAGAACTGTCTAACAGCAACAAAAGCCTGAATGACAGCTAGGTAATTCAAGATGCAAAAAACCTGAGCATAATTATGTTTAAGAGGGAAAGCCTGTGGAGAGAGAGTGATTGAACACACTTGAAATCAGGTGTAAATAATGAAGCATTTTGATAGGGGTGATTGAAATAAAGTGGAAGAAAATTCCTGGATAGGAATAGTCAGGCCTTAGCATTCTTGATTAATTCACAAATGTGACTTGCAAAGACCTTTCCCTAAAAGACAAGACTACAGTGGAGACTAGTTTAATGCCTCTGATAGGGGTTGGATGCGCCCCCACCCAAATCTCATCTTGAATTCCCACAGGTTGTGGGAGGGACCCGGTTGGTGGTAATTGAATCATGTGGGCAGTTCTTTCCCGTGATATTGTCATGATAGTGAATAAGTCTCACGAGATCTGATGATTTTATAGCGGGGAGGTGTTCCCTGCACAAGATCTCTTTCTTTGCTTGCTGCCATCCACGTAAGATGACTTGCTCCTCCTTGCCTTCCGCAATGATTGTGAGGCCTCTCCAGCCATGTGGAACTGTAAGTCCTTTAAACCTCTTTCTTCTGTAAATTGCTCAGTCTTGGGTATGTCTTTATCAACAGTGTGAAAACAGACTAATATAGCCTCCAATCTCAGATTTCTGGTGGAAGTCCTAAATACCTCTCTTCTTTGCATTGTGCACAAGATTGAGTTTGTGTGGTATGTAACCTACTAAACAATAAGAATGCATGCCTCCTATCTACAGTAAACACACTTCCGAATATCTGAGAAGACTGTAATAGTAAGATTCTCAACTTTGCAACTGAGCTCTGTTTACAGTTCTGCTGTCTTCTGACATGTATTAATGATGACGCTTTAATAGTTCTCTTTCATTTGTAAGAGACTCAAACACACTTTTTAGTGTACTAAAAGTAGACTACAAGCAAAAACTTGGTGCTGGTAATGAATGAAGGAAGGAACAAAGGGATGAAGAAAAATAAGAAAAAATAAATAATGAATAATGAAATAAATGAAAGGAAATAAAATATTCTGGCTTTAGAATCAAGCAGACCTAGGTGTTTAAACCTAGGCCTACATGATAGATACTGATTCTGTCTATTATTTTTTCTATTATTTGGATCCTTAATCTCCAGTGGTATCTCCCGAGGTAATAGGAAATATGTATTACAGTAGCTTAACATGTAGGTGTTTCTTAACCACACACAGTCTCATAAAGATTACCTGATTGTCTCTCTCCCAGTATCAAAATCAATGGGCCTGTATAGGTGCCACATCACTACTTGAATAACAAAATGATCAAGCTATGGGGATAATTTTTTGTCACCCTGCATTATAATCTCAAAATTGTGCTGTCGTCTGGGATCTTCTTGATTGACAACTTTCTCAAATTGGCAGAGAATGAAAGAGGTACCAGAAGCAACAATGAAATGCCTTGCTTCCAACTAATAATGCCTGTCTAGGAATAAAGAAAGTTCAGTGCACTCACTCATTTCTGTTCATCTATTTCAGGTGGTTTACATTTTGGGAAATTTTCCAGTCTTAAATTTCTAAAAGATCACATTTACCTCTTTCCAAAATTTCTAATCTAGCACGTAGTATCTAAATGTAGCACTAAATTTGCAATAATACTCTGCTTCTCACTGTATATCTCAAAATATTGTTTTTAATTTTGAGGGAAATATGTATTTTTTGCAATTCTTATGAAAATAAAATTAGATATATTGATTTTAACTAAAGAGGTGAATTTTCATAGAGCAATCCTCCTCTGAGGAGGTATCCATGAACAAAGAAAGCATGTATGTATATGAGAAACATATGAGAGTATTCACTGCAGTATTCTTCAAATAACAACTGCCCAAAACTAGAAATATTAGTGCATATATAGGAATAATTACATGAACTATTTTAAATTCAGATATGAAATATGCATTAGAAAGGTGAGATTTTTTAATATACAAAATTCCATGCAAAGATCAATATATACTTGTTCTCACCACAGGGAGTTTCTACATGTGGCATTGACTTGCTCGATACCTATTCCAACCTTCTTTTAATACACTTTTCTCTACCACACAGGCTGGAGAGCAAAACCTATTTTCTCACATTTCCTCGCAGTGAGGCTCCTGGGTGTAATTTAGATTCTTCCTATAAGATGCACTCCTGTGTGAATTTGATTCAGGACTGATTATGGTGAGGTGAGGAACTGAGAAGGTTCAAAGCATCCATTTTGCCGTTACTGATTGTAGAACTTCTGCAGCTGTCTCCTGCGGCCATGGTTTGAGGATCAGGTTTCTCTTTTCCTTATCAGGGAGTATGCTGTTTAATTCTGGAATCAGTAACTATGACAGCAGATTCCTGGGTCTGTGGCTTAATCATTACTGTACTTGCTGAAGAAAAATTAGTGATCATAATCTCTGTTGTAGTTTTAGAAGTCCCTTCTATTAGTTCAGTATTAAATTATGTTCTTGGTTTTTCTTTAAAAAAAAATTCTTTATGCTTTAACTAGTAGAATGGTTTCTGTTTTCTGCAATTTGATGCAACCCAAGTAAGATGTATGCCAAAATCTTAAAGGAGAGTCCCTGGAATTAAAGCTACACAAAACTGCTTCATGTTGCTTGTTCTTTATTTTACATTTTGGTTTATTTTATTTGTTACAATAAATGTGTGACAAATAACTGTTTACATATTAGAAAAAATGTTAAAAATTTGTACTTGTCCAAATTGTCTTCATTCTAAACCATTATTTTTTTATAAATTTATGCTTTTATAAAAATAATCCAACTGTATGGTTAGAAAAACAGGTTTAAAATTCAACTAAGCTAAAATAACTAACTAAACTAGTGTATAACTAAAAGGTTTAAAACTCAAATTTTTATTTCCCTGTATTGGTCATTGTGTTCTTTAGCTCCAAAATCTTAGGTTAGTTCTCCTGTATGTTTCTCTTTGTAAAATTTCTCGAGTTTGTTGTTTGTTTATTTTTGGTATTGTTTTTATGATTTTGTTAATTTTTTTGCCTGTGTTTTATTGCGGTTGACTGAGCTTATGAAGAATTATTTTGAATTATTTGTCAGGCAATTTGTGGATCTCCAATTCTTTGTGTTGGTTACTGGAAGTTTATTGTTTTCCTTTTGTGATGTTCCCCTGATTATTCCTGATTCTCAGAGTCTTTCATAGTTGTCTGTGCATTTGAAGAAATAGTTGCCTCCTCCAGACTTTATGGACTGGCCTTGGTAAGGAAAGACATTCACCTGCAGACATAAGGAGGCATGTTGGATCTCTGTATACCAGGACTAGTGATGCCTTTTGTCAAGTTGTGGGTGTATGGTGGTTCCAGCTCTTGCGGGGGAACAGTGTCTCATCAACTCAGGCATTTAGGGTCCACAGTGATGGTAACTGCATGGTATTTGGTGGCCATAGCTGTAGGAGGTCCATAGTAGCTGCAGGGGCTCTTTGAGTCTCTGGTAGCACCTCTGATTACAGTGACTGAGGAACAGGGAAGACAGTAATAAGATTTGGGGCCAGCCATATGAATACATTCAGCTACGTAGCACATAGCTGCATGGGCAAGCTTCGGATGCACAGCAAACGGTGGTGAAAGCCAGGGCCTGGAGCAGGGTCTAAGGTCAATTATGGGTGCAAAATTAGTGGTGGGGGCCATTGATACGCACATGAAAAGCTACGGAGTCAGATATGCAAAGATAATGAAATATTAGGACTGAATTTAACTAAAGAGGAAAAATTGGTACACTGAAAATGATAAAGTGTTGATAAAATAAATTGTTGAAGACAAAAAAATAGAAAGATATCCCCATTCATTGATTGGAAAAATTAATATTTTAAAAATATTTATACTGCCCAAAGTAATCTACAGATTCAATGTAGCTGCTATCGAAATTCCAATGACATTTTTCACATAAAAAGAAAAAATAGTCCTGGTGAGGTGGCTCACAACTGTAATCTTAGCATGTTGGGAGGCTGAGGAGGGCAGATCACTTGAGGTCAGGAGTGAGACCAGCCTGGCCAACATGGCGAAACCCCGACTCTACTAAAAATACGAAAATTAGCCAGGCGTGGTGGCACAGGCCTGAAATCCAAGCTACTCAGGAGGATGAGATGTGAGAATCACTTCAACCTGGGAGGCAGAGGTTGCAGTGGGCCAAGATTGTGCCACTGTACTCCAGCCTAGGTGACAGAGCAAGATTCTGTCTTTAAAAAATAAAAAAAAAGAAAGAAAGAAAAGATAATTCCAAAGTCCACATAGAATCAGAAAATACCTCTAATACATAAAGCAATATAGAGCACGAAGAGCAAACCTGGAGAAATCACACCCCCTAATTTCAAGCTATATTACAAAGCTATAGTAATCCAAACAGTATAGTACTGACATTTAAACAGACACATAGACCAATGAAATAGCATAGAGAGCTTAGAAAAACAGCCACAATACATGGTCAACAATTTTTGATAAAGATACCTAGAATACACAAAGAGAAACAAGAAAACTGGATATTCACATTAAAAAAATAAAATTGGGACTCTCTCTAACATTATATAGAAAAAATAATTCAAAATGGCTTAAAACTTAGGCATAAGATGTGAAACTATAAAAGTCCTTGAATAAAACATAGGAAAAAATCTCCTTGACACTACTGTGGGCAATACATTACTTTTTTTTTTTTGCATATGATCCTAAAAGCACAGGCAGCAAAAGCAAAATTAAACAGTAGGACTGCATCTAACTAAAAAGTTTCTATTCAGGAAAGGAAACAATCAACAAAATGAAACGGCAACCAATGGAAAGGGAGAAAATATTTGTAAACTGTAAATCCAATAATTAATATCCAAAATGTAAAAAGAACACAACTCAATAACAAGAAATGACTCAATCAAAAAAAGGTCAAAGGACATGAACAGATATTTTTCCAAAGAAGACATATAAATGACAAACAGATGTGAAACCTCAATACTTATCAGATAAATGCAAATCAAAATTACAATGAAATACCATCTTACACTTTGTAGGATGTCTATTATCAAAAATTAAAAGATAACAAATGTTGGTAAGAATGTTAAAAAAAGAGAGCCCTTGTAAACTGTTGGTGGGAATGTACATTGGTACGGCCATTATGGAAAATGTATAAAGGTTCCTCGAAAATTAAAAAAATGAAACTATCATGGGATTCAGCAATCTGACTTCTGAGTATATAGTCAAAGGAGATAAAATCACAAAATCAAAGAGATTTCTGCACTTCCATTTTTGTTGCAACATTATTTACAATAGTGTAGGGAGGGAAAAACCTAAGTGTCCAACAACATATGAATGAGCAAAGAAAATATGCAACACACATGCACACACGCACAGAGGAATTTTATTTAGCCTTAGAAAAAATTCTACCACTTGCAGCAATAAACAGCATGCTGACTGTAATTACTAGTAATCTATTGTACACATGTAATTTGCTAAGAGAATAGATATCAAGTGTTCTCACTACACACAAAAAAAGTCACTATATGAGGTAATGAATATGTTAATTGATTTGATTATGTTAATTATTTCACAATGCATACATATTTCAAAACATTATGTTGTTACCACTAAATGTTAATATACATAATTTTTATTTGTCATTCATACCTCAATAAATCTGGGGAAAAAGTCAGCATTCTTAAATAATTCTCTCTACAGTTTAATGAATAAAATTATAAATAAGTGTTTTCCATTTATGACATCTGTCCATAACCAATTACATATTCATATAAATCTGGGTAATTTTGAATTCTCCCAGTTTTAGACTTTTAAAATGTGAGTTCTCATTTTCTAAGGACCACTTGGTGGTAATGTATTTGTCAAATTGTTACTAGGAGACTATGGTTGGAGTAAAACCATAAGGCAATAAAGGCAATGTCTGCTATAACCCCAAACATGCATATGTATACATGGATATACATGGGTATATCTATGTCATCTCTGTAGAACATACAGTGTCTGTAGAAATGGTAAAGTAGGTGATCTCTTTTTTTTCTTCCAAAGAGAATTTAGATATTTTATTAAGAATGAGTGATACAAAAAGGAGGAAATTTTAGTTTCTTTGCAGTGGCGGCTATGTACTTTTTTTGTTTTATAACTTTGTCCAACCTGTGGAATGAAGCTTTGGCTTGGGTTTTTCCTTGTCTGAACAGGAAAATGAAATCTATCCTATTTAAACTCAGGTGACTAGAAAAAGGAAAAAAAAAATTAGTTTAATGGAATAGGTAGACTACTGATGTTGAGGTGTCCCTGAATCCATCCCCATAACAAAACTAATGGTATAACTTCAGGACTGAACTGCAATGATTGAATAAATGTCTCATTCCTTATGAGTTACATTGAAACACTAAAATTCTGATGACTTTTGTGTGGAACAATACAAGAAATGTAGATCTGTCTCTTCTCTCTTGAATTCCTGATCTGGCCTAAATTCGCACATACATTCTTTGCATTGCTTGTTTGCAAAAACTTAAACTGTGCCTTTATCCCCAATATCTTTCCCCACATGCTCCTTGTGATTTGGCCTAGCTTACCTCCCCACTCAGCATGTATTATAAAACAAATTAAACTTTTGTGCCATGACCACAGTTCACAATCAGGTGTTTTTTGTTGTTGTTGTTGTTGTTGTTTTTTGTGAGTACTACTACCTCGAACTTACTTTACATATCCTGAAACCTGCATTACCTGAGTGCTCTAACTATTTGTCATTCTGCATGTCAAGATTGATGAGACTTGCTTGGCTTTATCTGCTATAGTTCACGGCTCTAGAACTAAATCACTGTAGAGTTTGACCCACTTCTTACAGTTGAATAGACCTGTCATCTCTTCCTGGAAAAACACCTCACCCTCAATAAGTTATGGCCCCTGCCTGGCTAGCTTTCTCTTATTTCCATTTATTCTTTGGCATGTTAACTCTTTGATTTGAAACTTCATGAGTTACTACTGTATGGAATACGGCTATGTTTTTATAACAACACTGGGAGAAGAAAAGTGGTTGTTACACCCAAAGAATGAATCAAAATCACAAATCAGAAATTAGGACATGAAAAGCATTTTCAGGAGGAATAATTTTCAGCAGCTACTTGAAGAAAATATAAAACCTGATCTCTCCTTATGTCTAGACCCCGCTGTGTTTATTATCTTGATTGTAAAGCCCAATGTATTATGAAGCTGGTTAGAGAAAAGTAGAAACTAATAAATTAATAATAATAAATATGCCAAGGAAACATAAATCAGAATAATGTAACAATGGAGCTGAACCTCTGGAGCTTTCTCTCATCCTCTCTACCTGCACTTAGGCAAAAAACCTTAATCATCTGCACATGTATTTGTCAATTTTGTTTGTAAGTGTTTGGCATTTTAGAGATCTTTTTGCTCATAAACCAAATCTCAGATGATAGTTTGGTGATAGATGTATGTTTGCACAAAAATGTTTATTATCTGGCACAAAGATAATTTTCATTCACCTTGTCCCCATTCATACATAAAACAACAGGTTTGTAATAACCTGATTATACATCTATCATATAAAACTGTATTTTTGGATATTTTTGTTACGTTTGTAGAAATTTAAACTCTTTCATCTTCATATAAATTTGAGAAGTGTTTCTCTGTCACATTTTTTACCATTTTTTCCTCTGATATTTAGGAATAGAGATATAGAAATATTAGACTTAAAGAAGCATTACTAGTAATATGATGAACAGGATGATTAATTAACAAAAAAGGGAAATGAAACAAACAAGAAATACATGTGGGTTAAGTATACATATTTTAAACACGGATAAACAGAAGACAATGAAAGAAAATTTCTGTTCATTTTTGAGTATTTGTTTAAAAATATAAATGTTATCGAACTGTTTACAATTTTATATAAATTGTTTCTCATAAGATATGTGAAGAAAAATAACCTATGTTTATTTCAAATTTCTAAATAAAACTTATGAGTTCTGGGAACTCAGGTTTAAGATACATCCTAAAGTTATATCTCAGAACTGTATTCAAGAGCAGACACTGTTAGAAAGAGTAGCTTTGGTAACAGATGGGTTCAAATCCTCAGAGGTAAAAAAAAAAAAAAAAGGCTAAAATTTATTTTAAGAATCAGATGAGAAAAATCACATACGTCTTTATTAGATACAAGTGCAGGCTTTCCATTCCCCTCCTAAAAAATAAATATAAATAAAGCTACAAAATATTATTCATAATTCTCACTACTGTTTGAAGTAATTTTTGAATATAACTGGTTTGCTAGGAGGAACAGCTTTTGCTAAGGAAAGTTTATTTAAAAAGCGTATGCTCACTTACACTAATTGCTTTCATGCCAACTGCTCAGTCTATAACATGTAGGTTGTTCCATCCTTCTGGTCAAAATAACAGGTTCTCCTTGCAGACAAATAAGGTTGAATCTTGTATTTAAATAGTGTTTCTTGTTCATCTTTTATTTCTGACCAAGTTTATGATAATTCATCATCCAACCCAACTGCAACAGAAATATAATATATAACAGTATTATCAGTGTTCTATTGCTGGAATAAATTTGTATTATTTAAAAAAATAGTAGTATGTAACAACCTTTAAAGGTACTGTATGTAAATGAGTCATCAGCCTCTTTTCAACATAGTTGAGTATTTAATTTTGTCTTTAAGCGAGAATCAGTTATTAATGGTTGTAATATGATACACACTTTCTAAAGATATATACCTCAGAAATTATTCCCAATATGTAATAGAGAAAAACAAATTATTCTAGATTGGTTAAAAATTTTGAAAACTAAATCTGAAGTTAAAGACTGTTTTCAAGTAAAACTGAGAGATAAATTAACAATATTTCTAAATGCTGATTAAATATTTTACTGCTTTTTTAACATTTCTCATTTTTCAGCCTCTGCAATAAATGCCTAAGTTGTAACAGTTGTAAGACTGAAATCTTTGTAAGTTTATATTTCAAAAAAGAAAATACTCTACATATGAATTTCACCTATTATGTAAAACAAATACATTGATATATATATATATAGAGAGAGAGAGAGATGAACATGGTAGATATTTTACTGAAAGTCACTTCAGTAATAATATCTAAAATAGAATCTGCTATATTTTCCCAAAATTAGACTATTTCTTATTGTCATTATAATCAAATCATTGACTTTTTTTTTTTTTTTTTTTTTTTTGAGACAAAGTCTTCCTTTGTGACCCAGGTTGGAGTGCAGTGGTGCGATCATGGCACACTACAGCCTTCACTTCCCAGGCTCAAGCAATTCTTCTGCCTCAACCTCCTGAGTAGGTGGGACTACAGGCACCATCACGCTGAACACTTTTTAAAATTTTAGTGGAGACAAGATCTCACTGTGTTGCACAGGCTGGTTTTGAAACCTGAGCTCAAGCAATCCTCCCACCTAAGCCTCCCCAAATGCTGGAATTATAGGCATGAGCTATCCCACCCAGCCAAATCACTGACTTTATAAAGATATAACGTATTTTTACACAGAAAGTTAAAAGAATTTTCACTCTATATTGGACATTTTTGTATTAACCAATAATTCTCAAGTAAAAACATCATTTTTCAGGAATTCTGGTATTTCTGTTTGATTTGGCTTATAACACATTCTTGGAAAGATGGATTAATAATTCAGTATATGAACAATTGAATGACACATTTCAAATACAAATGTAATACCAAGGGTGGAACATAAAATTCTGAAAATCTATGAAATATTTTATATTTGCTTTTTATTTGGAAATATTTCTGACTTTCAAAGACATTTGCTAATAGCTAGACACAGTGGCACAAGCCTGTAATTTCAGCTACTTGGGAGGCTGAGGAAGGAGGATCCCTTGAGCCCAGGAGTTTGAGACCAGCGTGGAAAACATAGCAAGACCTCATTTTGAAAAACAATCTGCCTGTGAAATTAGGCAAAGTGATTGTTTAATACAATCTTGTTCAACCCACGGCCTATGGGCCACATGCGGCCCAGAACGGCTTTGAATGTGGGCCAACACAAGTTGGTAAACTTTCTTAAAACATTATGAGTTTCTTTGCGATTTTTTAAAGCTCATCTACTATCATTAATGTTAGTGTATTTTATGTGTGGCCCAAGACAATTCTTCTTCCAATGTGGCCCAGGGAAGCCAAAAGACTGGACACCCCTAGTAATGTTTTATCTCAAAACTCTTTGACTATTGCAAATCTCCATTTATTAAATCTGTTTATCCCCAAGAGTTTTTATTAGAGTATTTTTACATTAACAATGAGTAACAAGAAAATAGAATGGCTTTGTTATAAAGAGGACAAAAACATATTGATCATCTCCACACCAAGCGAAAATATAAAAGTAAAGACCTAAACAGTATGCAAAATCAAAATCTGAGGTTGATAATTTAAACGTACTTTACTGAAGTAAATAAAAATTTACAATGAATAAAGATCAGGCGCCTTTTTATTATTACTTTAAAATTGGATAGACTGCAAACATATGCATAAAATCAAACACTCAAACATTCCTCATTGCTGCAATTCTACACAGAAAAGATGTAGGTTAGGCAGCAGATTCCCAGTAGGATATTTAATAATTGAATAAGCCTGACCCTTTATAGTGCTCTTGAATACTCTCGGGACAATGGTAGTCTAAAGAAAAACGATATACCGATGCTGACTACATTGAGCTAGTCTTAATTGTGAGTTAGTCTGTCACATTTCACTGCTTTTTGTTTATTTAAACTGGTTAATTTCCATGGAGAATTGCAGAGCTCAGCAATTTTTACAGTATGTTTTTTTAATGGAATGAAAATAAGCCAAGTTTTCATGGTTTAAAGGAAACTCCTTGATCCACAGTGTAACATGTTAGTGTTTTAAAGTTTTAACTGTGTTTTTCTCACATGTTTTGTCTTGGGAGCCTATATACATTGATATTGTGGCATATACTTAATATTGCTGTCAGCAAGAGTTTATGTTTATTCCTACTTTAGAGGTAACTATTTTATTAAGAATTCCTCTTGCTGTCATCAACCCATCTCTCAGTGTGGATGGATTCTTAAAATATATTGGTCCTGCAATGTTCTCAACTTTTAAATCTAAATCAATGGTAATTTTTTCTTTATTAAATCTTTCCCATCAATATCCAAATATACTACAGTCTCTGCTAAATGTAGTAAAGAGAAAAAAAAAGGAAAAACTTTTCTTGACCAAATCTTATCACCTCAATTAATTTCCCCGATAGCAAGAGGTCTCAAGAGATATTTGTTTTATAAGATGTGAAAATTCTTTTGATGACAGATCCAACCCAATGACACTAATAGCACTCAGATAGATTGATGGAAGACAACACTTTGTGACTGGCAGCTCTAATAAGAGGGTGCAACTCAGGGCCCTAAAGGTGGTCGCACTCAGGGACAGGAACAGAATCACAGCAATCTGTATCTAGCTGTAGGGGGCAGTTTATGCATGGCAAACAGGGTAGGGTTAGGTTGGTTGTGTAGGCTTTCTGTGGATTGCTAATTTGAGTTATTTTTCCAGTTCTGGAACATACAGACGGTCCCTAGTTGTCTGGTATCTGTCTCTAGGGTGATTATGGTAGGGGCATAGTGGCTCCAGAGTCTGAGTGGCAGATCAAAAATCTGGTTGGATCTTAACTTAATCACCTTCTCAAGAAGAGCAATTGACTGGCTTCTAGCCAGAGACCCCAAATTGGGTCAAGACAACATTAAAAACAAAGAAAACGAAACACACTATATTGCATTATATATATTTGTAATTACTACTGTGTGTCTTATTTTTTTCTTCTTATCACTCATATCAGAATT
Source organism: Homo sapiens (assembly GCF_000001405.40). NCBI lineage: Eukaryota > Metazoa > Chordata > Mammalia > Primates > Hominidae > Homo > Homo sapiens. The sequence goes on along the minus strand of NC_000013.11, from coordinate 84,811,935 downwards.
TTGTTCACAAGTCACTATCAAATGATCTTCAATACAGGTCAGCAACAACATCCACATTGACAAATCAAAGGCTAATTCTCAGTGCTGGCCTGTGTATGGCATTTGAAATGGTCTGTCCCTCATGTTCTTTAAATATGTTATCCTGTTATTTCCTGCACAGCCCTTCATCACTAGTCATCACCTTGTAGTCTTCTTTGCCCATTCCTTGACTTTCCAACTTTTAAACATTGTTTGTACCAGAGTTAGTCAAACTTCTTTTCATGTCTGTGTGCATTCACTGCCAGAGTCCCCTTATTCACCCCAGACTTTAAATACCATCATTAAACTGATGACTCAGAAATATGTAAGAACATCACATTGAACTTACTCTTGTCTTACTTAAATTTACATCAATCTTAAATTTATATTTTACTTACATCAACTCTTAAGTTAAACTATATTAAACTTTTATCACATTCCTACATCACTTTTTGACTTGCCTGTCTAATGCTGTTTAAAATATGCCCAAGAGTGAACCTATTTCTTAGTCTAAAATGATACATATAATCATTATTTACTCATTTCAATTCCATTTTTCCTGGTCCTGTCTTTAAAATCCCAATTCTGACCATCATCACTTACTAGTGCCTATAATGCCAATACAAGTCATCATTCTTCTTTAGTTAAGATTTTTGAAATTCATTTTAAGTTTTTATCTTTACTCAATTTTCCCCCTTGTAAACTATGTTCATAACATTATATTTCTTATGTTCTGTATTATCTTTTAATTTCAGCTAAAACAGAAACAATCTTACTTTGGCTTAAAGAAACTTAATTATCATGTTCTGGTTTCCTCTCTGACTTTTTCGTCTGTTATTTTTTTTTCCCTTTCTGCTGCACCCATACTGATCTGTGTTCTGTTCATTGAATACAACAAGCACTTCTGCCTTAGGGCGTTTGAATTTGCCATTCCCTCTGACTGGAATGCTTTCCCTCCAAACTTTTTCAATCAGGAATGCTTCAGTTACACGTTGAAAATTTCACCCTGCCTCCCACACAGATCATTCTGGTCTTGTATCTTGCTTCATTTAGCTTTAAAAGTATGTATTAGTTTTCTATCATTGCCATAACAATTACCATAATCTTGCTGATGTAAAACAACACAAATTATTACGTTGTAGTTTTATAGGTAAGAAAGTCAGCACTGCTTCATTTAACTAAGGTCACGGTATTGACTGGGCTGTGTTCCTTTGCAAAGGTTTTAGGGGAGGACCTGCTTTCTTGATCATTTGGTTTGTTGCCAAAATTCAGTTCATAGTGCTCATAGGAACTAGGACCCCTGTTTCTTGCTGGCTTTAACCAGAGCGCTATCTTCAGCTTCTTATAGGTGCCGTATTCTTTGATTCATAGCTTCATTCCTCCATTTTCAAAGCCAGAAAATTTGGGGTGAGTTCTCACCTGGAATCTCTTACATTATTTTTCTGAGCACAGCCTGGACAATTTTACTGTCATTTGCTGTTGTTGTTGCTGCTGCTGTTGTTGTTTGGCTTTCTTTTAACTTTTAAGTTCAAGGGTGCAAGTTCAGGTTTGTTACCTAGGTAAACTTGTGTCACGGGGGTTGGTTGTACAGATTATTTCATCACCCAGGAATTAAGCCTAGTATCCATTAGTTATTTTTCCTGATCCTCTCCCCCCTTTCAACCTCCACCCTCCAAAAGGCCCTAATATGTGTTGTTCCCCTCTATGTGTCCGTGGATTCTCATCATTTAGCTCACATTTATTAGTGAGAACATGTGGTATTTGGTTTTCTGTTCCCAAAATTTCACTGTGTTTAAGACACCTTGTGATTAGACTGGGCCTGCCTGAATACTTAGGAATAATTCCCCTTCTCACAGGAGTTTAAAGCACTTGCAAAATATGCTTTGCCATGTAAGATAACATTGAAATCTGTGGGTTCAGGGGGTACAGTGTGTACACCTTTTAGGAGACTATTAATATGTCCGCAAAACACTACCTTACTTATTATTTCTAAATTTCTTTATACTGTTTCCTCTCACTGCACTCAAATCTTAAGGTGAAATAAATATTTTCTGACTACCTATTTCTCACTATTATATTTCAAACACCTAGAATAATAACTAGTTTGAAAACACGAATACAATAAATAGATAGATAAGTAGTTTCGATTTTGAAAATTTCAATTGAATGCGTGTAAAACAAACCAAAAATAATTTATGCTGATTTTGAGCAAAAACATTATTATAAAATCTTTCTTGTGTATTATCAACATTCGATTCAGTATCAATTTCATAGGTGCACATAAATTTTTTAAAAATGTTGACAGATTCAAGATTTCTCTTTGATGAAATATTTTAATTATGTTAAGGCAAAATAGGATTGAGCTTTAATGAACAATTGGTGAAAGGGTAAATTTATTTATTGAGCAATACAAAAAGATTGTTCAAACAATTCTGGCAAATAGATCAAAGATACTTGCATCTAAATGTAGATGAAAAAAATTATCCGTTCCCTTTTGCAATATCATAAAACTGCAGGTAACAAATAGCAGGTATCTTAGTCTGAGTATATAAATTACTTCTAATGCATTCTTCTATTTCCAAGAAGAGCCACAATACCTGAGGCACCTAGTGGGTACCAAAAGCAGTCAGTGACTGAGCTGAACTGTGGATTACTAATTCTCTATTCTATCTATTTGGCTTTCATATTTAATTCTTGAAATATATTTAAAATACACTTGGTAGATATATTTTAATTTCCTACCAGCTATTAGCCTTAATTGGTAATAATGATTTTGAAAGATGATTATTGCAGTTAAGAGGTTTTAGATAATTACATTTAGTCTTCTCAAATATGTCCCAGTTTGCTCTTTTTGAACTAGTGGGAAACATTATCTTATTTTCAATGCCTTCTGAGTGGAGTATGTGCGTCTGTGTGTGTCTGTGTGTGTGTGTGTGTGTGAGAGAGAGAGAGAGATGGAGGGGATAATAATTTTAAGAAAAGAAAAATATAAATTTAAAAAACATAATAATTCACCATTTGACAATTTCTGATACTAAATGAAAATATCCAATGAATAAATTTTGGATTACAACAATATAATTGGCAAATTTGTGTATTTGGTCACAGTCTTGAACAATTTTTAATATTAGATAGATTAATCTTTAGAAATGAAAACTCTAAATATGCTACAAAATCATAAAAGTTACACTGATATACTCTAATAGGTATTTGCTTTTTGCTTTTAGAGCATCGGTGCTATTTTTGTCAATGATTTTCCTAAGATAATTCAACACTTTTTTTTCCTGACTCTTCAAGTTCTATTCCTTTGAGTTTCCATCTTAAATATGAATCATCTCTAGAGCATCCTAGAAGAACCAAGAAAATCATGCCTCTAATTCTGTTGGCCACAGGGATTATTTCAAGCACAGGCACATGGCTGAGAATTCTGTTTTTTATCCTGAAAAGATAAAGCTCAGTAGCTTCTGGCAGCAATTTTCTGATCATGAGGGAAAAAATAATAATTGGTGGTGTCAGTGCAGCAGCTGCAGCTCTGAAATAAGGAGAGTTAACCTTATAACTTGCTGTTCCCAATCACTGCAACCCTTTCATTACCTCACTTTCAAATATTTCACTTTCCATCTTAGCCTTCAGTTTAGTCCTTCGAGTTCTCCACATCCAAACTGCTTTGACCCTACCCAGATGTACAAACCTTTGTTGCTGCTAAATTTTCAAATCCACTTATTTCTCACCCCTTTGATGCTTTTTTATTTTTCATATATAGGTTAAATTCCATGAGCCAGCATTATAACCATTCCCTTGCATAAACTCTTAACTCTCCTTGTCCTTATTATAAATCAATGCTTCCTCACGATGCAGAACAACGTCTGGCACATAGAAGGCATTCAGAAAAATTTTGCTCAATGAATTGACCCCAGGTTTGAATAATTTCAGGAATGTGCAATATGTAAGTGTGTTTCTAACTCTACTCCCCTCTTTTTTCAAAATAAGGAAAATAGAAAATAAGATGGGAAAAGAATCCGTCTTCGTACAACACATTCCTGGCAAAAGATGTGGCTCAGAACTCAAGACACCTCACTCCCAGTTCATTGCTGTATTCTTCCCAATTTCCTAGTTGTCTGAGCAACCTTATGTATTTTCTCCCAGACAACTTTGAGCCTTATTTAATGAACTTCCTTCCACTACAATAGTTGAAGAAAGATGTGTATCAAGAAATATTTCAATTTTTAATTTATAAACAGAACTACCCCCAATTTTAAGACACTTATATGGTATAAGCCATGCAGACAGATTCATTGTAATAACAGATTTATTTATATATGCAAATCATTAAAATAACGTAATTTTTCTCAACTGAGAGATGATTGAGCAGACTAATATTGACAATCTTTAAAGTATTTTGATCTTGTCCTAGAATAAAGATATTGGATCCATAAGGCTCTGCTTCTGAGAAGTTTGGGAATGAAACTGGGATTAGGTTATATTCATTGATTTTAGTTAAAGATTAATGAGAAATAACATTGTATTGAAGTATTATTTCTGCAACAAAATCGTTCACTACACTGTTTAAAGTAAACGATTTAAATCAAGGATATTTTTAAGAATTAGATGAGTTAGTAACAATTATCTTTTTTATTTGACAACTTAAAAAATATAAATGAAGCACATTAGAGAAAGTTGTTTGTATTTTTTGCTTATTTTTGTTTGTTTATTGTAAATATTGGATAAGCTATTTTGAAAGTGAATCTTTAAACCTAAAAGAATCAGAATTATCATATCATAAGAAGTTCAGACTGGAAGTAGAAAATTTCACTATAAATCTAACCTCCAAATTAGCTAGACACTAGGATATGTGCAAATGTCTGTGTACTCCAAACTAAATAGGAAATGTACATGTCATTAACAATTATATGCTAGAGTCATAACTATTATTCACTTATCACCTGCTTATGCTAACTATGTTACAATAAGTTGTTATTATATTGTTATGTTACTTTTCTTTACCTCGTAAGGAAGAGAACTGGGAAAACGTATGTCTCAGTTAAGGTACATACTCTTCATCCATCCTTCTTTCTTTTATTTCTTTAATTATTGCTTCATTCATACATTTCATTTTTCTTACCCCCGTCACTTCACAGGCACTCTAATATGTTTAGTATATATCCTTAAATTTTATATATTTTGTAATCGTGTGTGTGTGTGTGTGTGTGTGTGTGTGTGTGTGTGTGTGTATGAGTGACAGGGTCTTGGTCTATTGTCCAGGCCTGTGTGCTGTAGCATGATCATAGCTTTCCGCACCCTCAACCTCCTGGGCCCTACTGATTCTCCTACCTCAGACTCCCGAGTAGCTGGGACTAGAGAGGTGGTGTACATTAGAGAAGTTTATTATTTTTTGTAGAGATGGAGGTCTCACTACATTGCCAAGGATGGTCTTGAACTCCTGGGCTCAAGCAATTCTCCTGCCTCCACCTCCCAAAGTTCTGGGATTAAAGGCATGAGCCATTGTGCCTGAATGGAGTGTGTATTTTTTAAATGCATACATGACTTAGCAATATAAAACATGTTTCTTTTGTTTATACGTAAAAGGAGTTATATTAAGTATTTACATTAATTTACTTCTTTTGACTCCTGGATTGCATTTACAGGGTGTATCCTCTATTTCTCTCTTTCATCAGAATTAAACAATGCATGGCCAGGCACTATGGCTCACACCTGTAATCCCAGCACTGTGGGAGGCTGAGGTGGGTGGATCACTTAAGGTCAGGAGTTCCAGACCAGCCTGGTCAATATGGTAAAATCCCGTCTCTACAAAAAATACAAAAATTAGCCGGGCATGGTGGTAAGTGCCTATAATCCCAGCTACTCGGGAGGCTGAGACAGAATTGCTTGAACCTGGGAGGCAGAAGTTGCAGTGAGCCAAGATCATGCCATTGCACTCCAGCGTGGGTGACAGAGCAAGACTCCGTCTCAAAAAAAACCAAAAAAATTAAATTAACTTTTAAAAAAAGAAATAAACAATTCAACACTCTCCGAATCCCATTACATCAAGAATGCTGAAACGAACTTCTGGCACATTTTATCTTTCAGCGCTCTGTGAGAATTTCTCTGGTCTATATACGCAGAAAAAGATTCCTGAATCACAGGATTTATTATAACTGAGGATGTCAGATTACTCCCTATTTTGAATTCGCCAGATGAATTTCTACTAGCAGTGCAGAGTTCACTTCATTTCCACTGAAAGTTTTACTCAACATTTTTATCTTTGAAGATCATATAGACATAATATAGTGGCACATTTTTATATTCACTGACTAGCTATGATTTGTGTACCTTGTATGGAATTCACTTAAGTTTTATCCTCCATTAATTATTTATACCTTTCCTCCATTTTCTACTGTATTTTCTGTTTCATTTCTTAGTGATTTGCAATAGCTCATATATATATATACACACACATTAGAATTTAGCCTCCTGTAGTTTCTGAGTTTGTATATAACTTTCACTAAACATCTATATGGTATGTATACAATCCTAAATGTCAGTTCTTCATATTATGTTTTATGCTTTAGAAATACTTTTAAATGGCTAGGCGTGGTGGCTCATGCCTGTAATCCCAGCAATTTGGGAGGCCGAGGCAGGCGGATCACCTGAGGTCAGGAGTTCCAGACCAGCCTGGCCAACAGGGTGAAACCCCGTCTCTACCAAAAATACAAAAATTAACTGGGCATGGTGGCAGGTGCCTGTAATCCCAGCTACTTGGGAGGCTGAGGCAGAAGAATTGCTTGAACTCGGGAGGGGGAGGTTTCAGTGAGTCAAGGTCGTGCCACTGCACTCCAGCCTGGGCGACAAAAGTGAAGCTCTGTCTCAAAAAAAAATTTTTTTTAATAATTATACCCCAATATACAGCTTATATTTTGGTCACTTTTAAGGCAGGAGAACCTGATGTCTACCTTTGGAGATACTGTAGACATCCTCATTTATTCTGTTGCATGGAGTGGGCCAACTTGTTGCTTACTTATTGATATGTTTTTCCCACATTTGTAATAGAACAAATCTAGATGGATAGAAATAGATACCTGAGCTTTCTATTCATTCTCCTTGTTGGTGGATTTACCCTTTTACAAATGTTTTAATAGGTTCAAATTTTTAAATATCCTCTCCTTGGCTCTACTTCAAAATAACCATTACAAATTAACATACATATTAAATAATTTTTGGATAATTTTGAAATTAATAAACATCCTTAAAATCTTGATTTCACCACTAAATAGTGTGCTTTATAGAACTTTTTTTTTATTTTTATTTTTTTAGACAGTCTCATGGTGTTTTCCAGGCTGAAGTGCAGTGCCACAATTTCAGCTCACTGGAACCTCCACCTCCCGGGTTCAAGCGATTCTCGTGCTTCAGCTTCCCGAGTAGCTGAGACTACAGATGGGTGCCAACCATGTTCGACTAAATTTTGCATTTTTAGTAGAGATGGAGTTTTGCCATGTTGGCCACGTTGGTCTTGAACTCCTGCCCTCAAGTGATCTGCCCACCTTGGCTTCCCAAAGTGTTGAGATTACAGGCATGAGCCACCACACCCAGCCCTAGAACTATTAATTCTGACCTTCATTTATAATCTTTAGAAAAGATTTAACATTCTCTTGATGCTAATGTACATTAAATATATTCATGTGTAAGGTATAGTTTTTGGTGATGGCTTAAATTGTCTTATCTGTTAGTAACTTTTTAGTTGATTATTTTTCTTGAAAACAAATCCAATATGTTATTTTTATGAATCAATTTTCATATTCAGAATGTTGCCAAACTTATTTCTAATTGTTTTAGATTAGAATTAAATCAATTTTTTCCTATTATCCATAACTAGAGATAATTTTATTGCCTTTATTTTTATCTTGACATCTCTTTTCTATTGTACTACAATGCTGAATGGAATCTAGTGCCATGGGAAGAGTTACAGATGATATTAGCTATCCTTTATTGTCTACATTTTGGAAAACGTAGGTACAATTTCTCCCTCTACAACTTAAATTGTTTCATATAGCTGTGTTAGTAAAATTTTTCACATTAAGAACGTTTCCTGCCTGGCATGGTGTCTCACGCCTGTAATCCCAGCACTTTGGGAGGCCGAGGAGGGTGCATCATGAGGTCAGGAGATCAAGACCACCCTGGCCAACATGGTGAAACCCCGTCTCCACTAAAAATACAAAAATACAAAAATTAGCTGGGTGTGGTAGCGCGTACCTGTAGTCACAGCTACTTGGGAGCCTGAGGCAGGAGAATCGCTTGAACCCGGGAGGCGGAGGTGGCAGTGAGTCGAGATCGCGCCACTGCACTCCAGCCTGGTGACAGAGCCAGACTCCGTCTCAAAAAAAAAAAAAGCATTAATGTTTATGGAAACATGCATAGTTTTCTATCCCTCAATGCCTATAGATATACATTCGGAAAGTTAACACCCTACCCACCCCACCCCCGGCCTCCGCATTCCCACACACTTATCTTTACATTAGCTGGACACGGTAGAAATCCGTGTCCATTTACATAAGGTGGACACGGTAGAAATCAGATTCCTGCCCAGTGGTGTGGCAGGCCATGTTCTTGCATAAAAACAAATTGGTTAAATCAGAACCACTAGCTATGGGGCTGATCAGCCTCAGGCTTTGAAGCTGTTCTACTGTGAATGAAATCAAACAGGAAATAAGAGGGTAATATGCAAGTAAATTATACCTGCTATTGTCCTTTCAATGGACAACTCCAGGCTGTTCGTCCATGGAGCCAGTCTACATGAGTCTATAGATGTATCTGCTAGAGAAACTGCTATGATTTTTTAGGGCTCATCGTAAAGCAGTAGCCAGGAGAGTAATGCTTCATCATGCAGTTCTTCCCAGTTTTACCTGTATCACATCCCTATTGTCTTATTGTCATTGCCCTAGGATTTTAAGAGTCAAATAAAGAATTGACATTTATTCTATGTATAAGGTTTGTCTTTTTTAGAAACTAAAGCTCAGGAAATTGCTAGCAGGTACTGTTTCAGAAAATAAGCCTTTGGAATGAGATTGTAAAATTGGATTACTCACCTGACTTAAGACAACAGTGAACCCAGTAATATGAGTTTGAGATGATAATAGCTTCTGGAAATTGTCACATCGCAATTACTTAAGATTACTTAATTAGTAATTGAGATAAAATACATGTAGAGGGCAAATTATTGGATAATTAATGTAGTGTTCAATCACTATGGGCAACAATAAACATAATTGTGATTGTGGAGTGGGATTGACATTACTGGATACTTTGTAAAAATAACCTAATAGCTTTAAGGCAGTTCTTGCCAATGCAATGAATGCTTTCAAACCAGAAGACCTCCATAGCAACTTTAAATTAGTCTTACCCCTTGTAGTCACATGATTGACAGTGCTGAAAGAAGAAAAAAAAATGTGCATTTAGTCTTGGCAAAGCTTCAAAGAAAAGGTTAAATGTGCATTACTGAATAGTCTTCTATTATAAAATAAAGGAGTGATTAAAAGAGAAGGCATCTGAGACTTGAGGAGGAAAAATATAGGTAGCTGCACTTGAAAAACTTGATCCTCTTCATGCTATTAAGATTTTTAGAAAGGGGAAGTGATCATTTTCACTAGCCAAGACTATAAAATGCACTCAGGTTAAGCAAGTCCATCACAAGGTAACACTTATTTCCTTCAAGACTAGCCCCAAACACCTTTTATCCATCTTTAGGCTGGAAAGCCAAGTTTCTATATGGTCCAGGTTGAGAAGCACAAGCTTATACCAGGACAAACATTCCCATTTGCTGATAGATCTTCAAAACCTGGTCATATTGTGCTCTAGGAAACAAGATACCATGTGTAAGGGTGGTTCCCAAGGCGGTGTGCAAAGAAGGAAGTACAGAATACAAAACTGGGTAAACAGAATTCATTAATGTGGGAATATTTAACCGTAACACGTGACTTAATATTTGGCAACGGTACCTGGAGTTCAAGCTATTTTTTTTTTATTAGGAAGGTATCTTCAATCTTGAGATTAACAATAACTTAAAATAAATTGAGTGCAGATGCTAGAACATTTTTGTTAGTGGTAAACATTGCTGGGAAGACTTACGGAGATCGGAATGGTTAAAATGTATTTATTAAATATATACTGAGAATTGTTGGATAAATATAATGAAAAACAGAATATTTTTCCAATGCAGATATCCTCTCCACAAAGGTGGTAGAGAAATAAAACATTTACTACTGAATAAGCCCTAAAATGTAATGCAATGTGTATCACAGGGAATCTAGTAAAAGACGGCAAAAGGAGAAAAAAAACCCTCACGTTTATTATTTAGCTAAGCAGATACAATCCACTACATACATGTTATAAACTATCATTAGTCTTCAAGTAAGAGGACTTCACAACACCGTTTGTCACACATAATCTATCTTAACTTGACCTGGGAATTTGGGTGATCATCTGTGATTAGCTAAGTGGCTTCATCCAGAGGAGAGGAAAACTTACAGCTTTTTAACAGGAGGAAATTTTGCAGCTTGAAGCAAGGAGTCTACCAAAAATTGGACTCCTATTTTTCTACAGAAACTGGAACATAGGGGTCCTATCTTCCTTGATGTTTATATTTCAAAGAGATAGCTCCCAGGTCCTTGAGAAAGACATTCCTAGGTTATAAAGTTGAAAGGCCTATCTAGTTTAGAAAAGGAGATATATACATTTCAAAGGAGGAGCAAGTACTTGTAATTACACATTTTCTAAATTAAATACTCAAAGAAAAAGGAGAGGAGGAAAATATCTTTCCTGAGGATTAAGGCTCTTATTTTTAATTGGTTTTTGTCCTTAGAGAAACCAGTATGCAATTATATTTCTAAGAGTTGCCAGAAGGCTTCCATCCCCTTAGGCAATAAGAAATGTACTGGAGAAGTCACTCACTATTCTGGATAACTTGTAATGGCTGTTTGGGGTTTTTTCTTTGGTTGTCATTTTTAAAAAATTTTTATTTTTGTAGTTCGGTGTACACAGAAGATATTGGGGAAGAAAATGGGCTCTGTAAAATGAATAGATCACAGAATTTCAGAATGGCAAGATACAAGAAATGACGTTAAATGTCAGAGTGAAGTATGCGTAATTATCACAATGTGATATGAATGTTCCTCACTCAAATGTTTCCTCAAATTGGTCACTCTCTAGGATAACTGTGCATTGGGAAGGGTGAATAAAAGAATATTTGAGGTCTACTAGTTATGGATTTCTTACTAGGGGACACCAGGTGTTATCCAGGTCCTATAATTAAAGTAGAGGGCTCAAGGAGGAAATTTTTAAAAATGAAATTATGATTTTAGTTCATTTCACATAGCATCCACATATTTTAGTGATACACCTTGTCATTATTCCCTCAGTTGACTAAAGTAAAGCTGAGCTAGAAATGCTTAACGCAAATAGAGCCCTCCCAACCCTACAGAGGGTCCTGTTAACAATGGAGTGTATCATTTTCTATTATATTTTTGGGAACTGGGCTCCTGTGAAGAACACACAGTTTCTTTTGTCCTGTCACTAGTGTCAGAGGGTGGAATCAATCTAAACTGTAGGTAAACTACATCTAGGCTTCATCGTGGTTTTATTTATTTTGGGCCCACCCCGGTGTCAAACATTTTGAGGACAGGGACATGACTCTGATTTCACCAGGGCTTGGAGCCTAAGCACTGGTGAAATCCTGAATTTCTGTTGAGGTTTCATAGCAGAAATGCAGGCTTTGCACATTTTGGGAAATTTCCCTGTGCTTCATAGACTGCATGACAATTTTTGTATATTCTGGGATGTTCTCTTTGCTCTTCAGTACCATCATCCTCACTATCCTGTATCTCCAGAGTTCCCTCTCTGCTCTTTTGCCCAAACCTTGGACTTCAGAAAGTAGCTGTAGTGCACTTGGGAAAACCCCTGAGCTTCAGCAGCGCAGGAGGATGATCAGCTTCCCACAATGACTCCAAGACGTTGTTCTTCTGCTCTGTACTCAATCAAGCCCCATGGATAGGTGTTTGCAGGTGCAATCAGATGCATTCTGTGCCTGTGAAACTTGAGATTGTTATCTGTCATGCCGTGTCCTATACAACCAGTAAAACTGATTAAAATTCACACATTTTCCATGTTCCCCATCTATAGTGAATTTTTCCTCTTCCCACCACTCTTAGAAGGATGAAAAGAACTGTGAGTCGCTCCCCCTCACTAACCGATCATAGCCCTTCGGGTGTGTAAGCATTAAAGGAAGCCGTACCAACACTGTTTCTTTTTGCAGTGATACTGGTTACAATTTAGAGCCAATTTCTTCAAATCTGCACACAATATACAAGTATTTCCCAGGACAAGATACTCAGAAAATGTAAATAAGATGAATGGTGCCTTTATTTTGATGAGATAAATCCATTTTCCTCTGTTACACATCTGTCTTTCTAACACTGCTAAAATATCCACTACCTTTTCTTTTCCAGGAACTAATAGTATGTTTTCAAAGTAGTGCATGAAAATCGTGGCCTGGGGAGCATGTAATGATCAATGTTTATAGCATAGGCTTAGAAATTAAATAAACTCTGAGGCAAGATTGTAAATATGAACTTTCATCTTTGTTAGGAAAAGGTAAATTGCTTCTGATATTTTCTACTCCTTAAATGAAGGAGAAAACTTTTGAGAGACGAATAGCTTAGGTATAAGGGCTGGGCTGCGTCACCTCAGTAAAGATAGAATATATAAAACAACAGCAGCAATCATATCACCATTTAACTAAGCTCCCAATTATCTTCAATTATTCTGTCTTCTCCAAATTCCAACATTTTCTTCACAAGGTAAACAGAAATGTTAAATGGTTTATGATAAAAATAAATAATTTTGCATTTTTTCACATCTCTGTTGGTGGAATAAATGTTAAAATCACTCCAGAGACAGGGTAATGCTCTGGGGTTTTAAATTTGGAGAGGAGTGGAAACTCTAGTTTATTTCATTTGGCTCTTCCTTAATAGATTTAACTCCTTGGATCAGAAAGTGAATATGGTGATTTTTCCAGTTTCTAAAATATATTTATTCCAATTGTCCACTCAAGAAAATAGTCCCAGTATGTATTTCCTTACTCAATAAAGTTCTACTGAGATATACATGGGCAAACATATTTGTAACCTGAAACCCATAAGCTACCACCATGATAATGGTGCCATTCCACATTCTATTCCTGAATGTAACATGGAAATGTGTACGATTATTCCTGATGAATTGAGATTAGCTTACTTTACCAAGTATACAGTTACCTGGTAAATGGAGAGGTAATTGGTATGTCAGTAAAAGTTAAAATGGTGACTTATTAAAGGTGCTTGTAATGTTATAGTGTAGTTCTTACTCCAGGGAACCCTATGGACCCATAAATATTATGAATGGATTTAGACTAGAAGTTGAGTCAGGGATAGAGATTGTGTTGCCTCAACTCAGGGAACTGTAAACCAGGCCTATAGAGTATGGGCTTTTGAAATTATAAAAACCTAATTGTATAATGATGCAACTTGTACCTGATTATGTTTGTTGCAGGAAACCATAATTAATTAGTTACTTCTATGCAGTCTTGCCGATTATTCTATTCTGATTATAGGCAAGACCTAGTAACTGTGAAGTTTACCTCTGGAGTTTAGTATTGATACTAGAATTTTGCCTCACCAGCATCTTATTATTCACATTGAAATCAGGCAGAATGTTTCATTGGCAGAATTTAATATCTAAATCACTGGTGTTTAGAAAACAGCCAAAATAGTATTTTTAAAAGATGCTTGCTTTCCTTTTCCTAAAAGAATTTCTCAATGCCTCTTAAAATGATTAATTTGTTGCCTCATCCAGCAACTTATCTAAGTGGTAGCTGAGCATAGTAAGCAATATAAACCCATTCCAACATCTCTATCATGAATAGACTTGGCATCTTATCTCTACATTATATCAAAAGATTTCTGACATCTCAAGTTTATTTAGTGTGGAACCCCATTTATTTAGGTTACTATCAACCCTTGCTGGGAACAGATTACTACCACATTTGGTGAAACACATCAAATTTAAAATCTCTGGTAAATAAACTCATATTTCTAAATTCAATATATAGACTTACATTTCTCATTCTCTTGCCTAGCACCTTAGAAATACAATTTTGCACATTTACCCATTTTCTTTATAGACATAATAGCAAAACATCTATCCTTTTAGCTTATGAGCCTCCTTATCCCATATATGATTTTACAATTTGTCTTGTTTAATGTGATGTTGTTCTGAATTTGTGGACAATGAGTGGTAGAGTATAAAGAGAACACTCTTCCTGTCAGGATAACTAATATTTTTAAAAAGACAACAAGGGTTGGTAAGGATGTGGATAAATTAGAATTTTGCACACTGTTGTTAGAAATGCAAAATGGTACAGCCACTAGGAAAAACAGTATGGAGGTTCCTTAAAAATTAAAAATAGAACTATCATATGATCCAGCAATCTTGCTTTTGAGTATTTATCCAAAATAACTGAAATCAGAATCTAAAAGAAATATTAGTACTCCAATGTTTATTGCAGCACTATTCATAAGAGTCAAAACATGGAGAAATAATCTGTTCACGGACAGGTGACTAGATAAAGAAAATGTGGTATCCACCTAAAATAGAATGCTATTCAGATTCAAAAAATAAATTCTACAATAAGTGAAAACATAGATAAACCTTGAGGGTATTATTCTAAGTGAAATAATCCAGTCACGGAAAAACAAATATGCATGATTTCATCTATATAAGGTATCAAAAGTAGTCAAATTCAGAAAATCAAAGAGTAGAATGATGGTTACTAGGGACTAAGGGGTGGGGAGTAAAGGAAGTTATTAATCAAGAGGCATAAAGTTTCAATCAAGCAAAAAGAAAACTCTAGACATTTGCTGTACAGCATTGTACCTATCGTCAACAATAAGATATTGTACACTCGAAAGCTTGTTAAAAGTGTATATATCATTTGAAGTGTTCTTACCACAATGAATAAATGAAGAGAGAAAGACAGAAACACACACACACACACACACACACACACACACACACACCACTGAGAGAGAGAGAATATGCGAGCATAGAACATTCTTACCATTATTAGGCAAATTTCTCAGGGTCTTTAAGCAAAGCAGCAAAAGCTACACTGACCAGAATAGATTGCTTCTTTTGGTGACCAATTTTTCATGTGTTTTGTATTATCATTTTTTCTTCAACCTTCCTGGTTATTCTTAATATCAATAAATTCCCAAAATTTTATAAAAAAGACTTGGAAGTCCTAAGAATTTTACTCGGCTTTATATATCAGGATTTTGCTGAATCAGACCATGCATTTGATTTTCTGTTTTAGCAGCACTCTGGCTGAAGGAGTTGAAAGAATAGAACATCATTGAAATCTCCATTTTCTTTTCTTTTCTATTTTTATTTTTATTTTTTTTTGAGATGGAGTTTCACTCATTGCCCAGGCTGGAATGCAATGGCACGATCTTGGCTCACTGTAATCTCCGCCTCCCAGGTTCAAGCGATTCTCCTGCCTCAGCCTCCCCAGTAGCTGGGATTACAGGCCACCACGCCTGACTAATTTTGTATTTTTAGTAGAGACAGGGTTTCTCCATGTTGGTCAGGCTGGTCTCGAACTCCCGACCTCAGGGGATCTGCCCACCTCGGCCTCCCAAAGTGCTGGGATTACAGGCATGAGCCACAGTGACTGGCCAAAATCTCCATTTTCTATAATTGTGTCTTGAGCCAAGAATTTAAAACCTGAGTTTCATATGCTATCAATAAAATCGTCTGTGCCATCTGAAGTAGCCCTTGGTTTGTCACCACCTTGCCTTCTATAGGCACTATGAACAAACATGATAACTATGAATACATTCACTACTCTATGCTCTTGACTCCCAGTGTCCTGTCCTGTAGTGTTGCATTTGCACCAGATCAGATAAGAAATCTAATAAGTATATTCTTGAATATGTTATTTTTCCTAGAACACACACTTTTTTTGGTGAATGGGAGACCAGAGTCTTATTATTATTCAAATCAGTCTCCCTGAGCATTTGGGGATCAGAGATTTTAAGGATAATTTGGTAGGTATGGGGGAAGCCAGTAAATCGAGAGTGCTGATTGTTTGGGTCAGAGATAAAATCGTAGGAAGTTGAAGCTGTCTTCTTGTGCTGAGTCAGTTCCTGGGTGGGGGCTACAAGATCAGATGAGCCAGTTTAACAATCTGGGTAGCACCAGCTCATCCATCAAGTGCAGGGTCTGCGAAATATCTCAGGCACTGATCTAAGGTTTTATAATAGTGATGTTGTCCCCAAGAGCAATTTAGGGTGGGTCAGAATCTTTCAGCTGCCAGCTACATGACTCTTAAACCATAATTGCTAATTTTGTGGCCAATTTGTTAGTTCTAAAAAAGCAGTCTAGTTCCCAGGCAAAAAGGAGGTTTGTTTTGGGAAAGGACTGTTTTTGTCTCTGTTTTAAACTATAAACTAGGTTCCTCCCAAAGTTAGTTCAGCCTATGCCCAGGAATGAACATGGACAGCTTGTAGGTTAGAAGCG
Organism: Homo sapiens; assembly: GCF_000001405.40. Classification (NCBI taxonomy): domain Eukaryota; kingdom Metazoa; phylum Chordata; class Mammalia; order Primates; family Hominidae; genus Homo; species Homo sapiens. Next base: position 84,795,315 of record NC_000013.11, on the reverse strand, counting down.
AAATGAAGTTAGGTTAGCTCTCTTTCACTGTCTCAATTATAATTTTACTATGGCAGTTTCAATCCATCCCTTTGAGTTTCAAAACATCTTAACCTTAAGATGTTGACTAAACAATATGAAAAGTGGGCAAAGACCACTCTAACTTCTTCCTGCTAAGCAAGGTCATAGTGGGGGTAGGTGTTGACCCCAAGGTGAGAGGAGTGGAACCACTTTGCAACTGTCTGAGTGTACTCACACAGACCGTTCTGGGGTTCCAAGGCTCGCATGACAAAGGCATTAGAAAGTATCATTTATAGCTTTAGTACAGCATTCCGGGAGCAGCGTACTATAAGGTAAATAATGAGTTCCAGAACCAGGAGTGCAATTCCCAGTTTTAAACGTAAAGATTTGAAAGCATTAGTTTGGGAACTTGTAGCCCACAAAGAATTTAGGATTTAGCCCAAACGTCAGAAAAAACACCGAAGAACAACTAACAACAGGTGTACTATAGCTGTTTTTGGTTTTTTTGAAGCATAATTTTTCTCTCTCCAGTTGTCATTTTTATAAAAAATCAATCATACCAGGTCAAATTTACTGGTAAAATAAGTTTTAGTATTATTGTTCTCTTCCTAATTATTTGCATGAAATGCAGTAGGAATAATTACTTGCCATCTAGGTTCTTTCTAATATTGGCTTTGCTGAAACTTTGCTCTATAAGGAGTCTCAGATTGTACCTTTTTAAAGCCCTGAAGCCCAGCCATGGATTTATCTTTCACTACAAATACCTGTGAATTCCTCTCCTCGAGGTCCCAAGATAATCTGGTGCTCCTGGGCCTATCAGAAAGTGACATTCTTTATTTATCACAGGTCAGGAACCTTGTACAGGGACTGGGTAGACAAGGTATAAGGCCAGATTTCCCAAAGGGGTTTTTATTGGCTCTATAAGTCAACTTTGATTCTTTAAAGAAAGCATGCCATTCTGGTCAAAGCCTTGCTTGGTAAGAAAACAGTTTCTCCAATTGTGTCCTGTTATGAATGAAAATGTATTCTTATTGCACTGATGCTAATAACTATACTGCCGTAAGTTGAGATTACTCCCAAATAGGTTCTAAATGCTGGAGAAATAAAGTAGAATGAAAGCAATATGCTCCAAATTTATCTCCCAGGAGACTTTACTCACTTGCTAAAATATGTAAATAGCTAAAAAGAACTAAGTTTTTTTGACTCTGAAAACAAAAGGATTAGCAATGGTTAATACATCAACTCTCCATGAGAGCCCCAGAAGTTTGTTTTTTTCCTCTATTCCAGTAACAACAATTTTAAAGTTATCAGAGAGGTGCATTCAAGAATACCCCATCAGATCCCTATCTCTGATTAAAAACTGCCTTTTGAGACAGATCAAAAAAAGACAAAATTGCCTGTGGATGACAAAAGTCTTAGGATAGCCACTGTTAAAGCTGTAATTGACTAGGAATCTGGTACTTTTGTGGCATACAATAATTTTACATAACAATTATAATTATTTATAATATACACTAAATCATATTAGAATTACAGAAGCTTCCCATAATTTTGGAACACATATTAATAGCATACTTATATAAATACAGCCCAAAGAAAGCCAAACACCATTTCATATTTGACAATGCTTCCTGTATGAATATACCAAATAAGCCAAATATGTTATTTTTGGACTTTAGGGGACCTAACATCTAAAAGATTAATTATGTCAGAAAAAGACATACTTTATAATTTGATTTTGGAAAGTTTATGAAATATCAAAGTTTTAAAACACTGAATATCACAAAATAGAATTCCAGGTAACCATAAGTCATTCATTTGGCCATAACAATAACTCCAAAATTTTAAAAGGGAAAAAGCTTTACTCTGATAGAGGAGACTTAGCATTTGAAACAACAAGGCCCAATTAAGATAGCATGAGGCCAATTGAATCCATCTCTTCTCTCTCTCCTCTCTTTTATACTGGTATTTACCCAAAGAGCAAACAAAAACCTTTTGTTATCTTTTAATATTATATAAAAAATCTTTTTTTAAAAGAGAAAACCTAATTTCATGTTCTCATTAGTGCACCTTTCATGCCAAAACTAGTTTTTAATAAAATTTTATAAATCTGTCTAATTTGAATTAAACATAAGGTAATGTTTTAATAAACTTTTAAGAACCCTTTACAATTTTCTGTTAAACAGAAGATCAGTTTTCTTAGAGAACCCTGTTATTCAGACACATGGGCACAGATTCTGGCCCTGTGTCAGTGTGCTTTTATTTAAATGTTCAACCTATGGGGAAAAAAAGTAAATAATCACCTTCAAATCTTAGCCAACTTGCTCAGACTCACAGAACTTTATAATACTAACCCTTCATGAACCCTTTTCAACTTACTTAAATTTTCAGTTTTGTCCCACTATTCTTTCAGTTTAAGACAATTTTTAAAATGTTCTGAGCTAGACAAAATTACATTCTTTTTAACAAAAACCATATTCCCATGCCTCCTTATAATCTTTTACCAAAAACACATTCTACTTTCCTTATACACCTTGTATGTAAAACTGTTTCTACAGTAGTTGCTGCTACATGTTACAATGTTAGTTTTTCGCAACTTTTATTTTTGGTGAAAAACCTGTTAAGTAAGTGATTTTAATTATGTACTAGGTGTGGAGTCTAGGACACCAGACCGAAGATCAAATAAGGTCTGACTTGTTTCCATCATAGGTAGTGGACATGGCTAACTCCATATGTTCCCAGGCCTTATCTAGAATCTAATGGCTCCAAAGCAGGTAAGTTGAACAATTTTCAAAAGTCAAAGAAGCAGTTTATGACCTTAAAGCATTTTCAACTCATTTTGGAATCAGCGCATCCCCCATGGCACTCTCATCTCTCAGTTGGGGGGTGGGGAGGTGGGGATGTTTCCATACTTTCCATGTGGCCAACAGCATGCTTCTCTGATCCAAGTATGTAAAGAGCCAAGTATCCCTCCATAACTGTCATTAGCCATCCCTCACACAATGCAAAGTAATTTCTGATATCCCCAAAAGTCAAAAAAATCAGGTAACATAATGTAAAGTATAACAGAGCCTTGGATTTTGAGAAGTATATATCTGTTTTCACTTCCTGGGGTTCCATGAGGAAAACAGAGGTTTTTCCCAGAACGGGGTTTTTCCCCAGGAGTCCCAGGCTGTGGTAATTATCTTAGGTTTTCTCATATGGGCATCAAGAGAGGCAAGAAGAAAAATGAAGAAAAACAATTCAATTGACTGAGAAGAAAAACACTTTTTTTTCTTTCAGAAAAATATGGCCCAAGAAGAGAAAAAACATAAAGCCTTTTTAAATATGTGTAGAGCTTAGATATCTGTTTTTAATTAAGCTGATTGTAACCACAGAATTCTTTTTTCTTTTCTTTCTTTCTTTCTTTCTTTCCTTCTTCCTTTCTTTCTTTTCTTTTTTTAATAAGATTTAGAATCTCCCCAAGGGTAGTTCAGGGAAAGAAAAATTCAAGACATGGGGGGGAAATCTCAATAAATGACAAAGTTACACAAATAATAAACCAGAAAGGACTCATTCCTGCAGCAAAGAGATGAACTCAGGCTGCCATTGTCAAAAGACATAGCCTTGGCTCCTGAGTTACAGCATTGAGCACTTTCTATTGCATCTCCTAGAAGCCCAGTACAGCCAATTTCAAGCTTGCAAAGGCTTATAACTGCTTAAGATGATTTTTACGGCTTACTATGACATGAACTCCTAATACCCATCCTCTTGATGGTGGACAACAAGAGAAAGTAGCCCCACATGATCACAAGGTTAAGCTGTTACGTACAGAAAACAAGACAGAGAAATTTCATCTGGTACTGGTTTTAGGGACTTGCAGCAAAGTTTGTAACTGACCAACCTGCTGGGCTGGCTTGAAAGCAGGCTTATAGGAGTCCTAAACCTATGTTCTATCCTGTGATACCCCTCTGTAATAGTCCATTTCCATACCACTATAAAGAACTGCCCGAGACTGGGTAATTTATAAAGGAAAGAGGTTTAACTGACTCACAGTTCTGCATGGCTGGGGAGGCCTCAGGAAATTTACAATCATGGTGGAAGCTGAAGGGGAAGCAAGGCACCTCCTTCACAAGGTGACAGGAAGGAGAAGTGCCAAATGAAGGGGGAAGAGCTCCTTACAGAACCATCAGATCTTGTGAAAACTCACTCACTATCACAAGAACAGCATAGGGGAAACAGCCCCCATGATTCAATTACCTACACCTGGTCTCTTCCTTAACACATGGGGATTATGGAGATTATGCGAATTACAATTCAATATGAGATCTGGGTGGGGACACAAATTCTAAGCACATAATTCTGCCACTGGTCCCCCTCAAGTCTCATATCCCTTTCACATTTCTAAACCAAAAATGCGTTCCCAATAGTCCTACAAAGTTTTAATTCATCCCAGAGTTAACCCAAAAGTCCAAGTTCAAAGTCTCATTCAAGACAAAGCAAGTCCCTTCTGCCTATGATCCTGTAAAATCAAAAGCAAGTTAGCTACATCTGAGATACAATGTGGGTACAGCATTGGGTAAATACATCTGCTCCAAATGGGAGAAATTGACCAAAACAATGAGACTACAGTCCCCATGCAAGTCCAAAATTCAGTGGGGCAGTCAAATCTTAAAGCTTCAAAATGATCTCCTTTGATTCAATATCTCACATTCAGGTTATGCTGATGCAAGAGGTGGGTTCCCATGATCTTGGGCATCTCCACCCCTGTGGCTTTTCAGGGTACAGCTCCCATCCCTGGCTGTTTTCACAGGCTGGTGTTGAGTGTCTGCAGCTCTCCCAGGAGCATGGAAGCTGTTGGTTGATCTACCATTCTGGGGGCTGGGGGATGGTGGCCCTCTTCTTACAGCTCCACTAGGCAGTGCCCCAGTGTGGACTCTGTATGGGGTATCCAACCTCACATTTCCCTTCTGCACTGCCCTAGCAGAGTTTCTCCATGAGGGCACCACCCCAAAGCAAACTTGTGTTTAGACATTGAGGCATTTCCATACATCCTCTGAAATTTAGGTGGAAGTTCCCAAACCTCAATTCTTGAATTCTGTGCACCTGCAGGCCCAACACTACATGTAAGCCACCAAGGCTTGGAGCTTGTACCCTCTGAAGAAATGGCCCTAGCTGTACCGTGGCCTCTTTTAGCCATAGCTGGAGCTGAAGCAGTTGGGATGTGGGGCATCCAGTCCCCAAACTGCACAAAGCAGCAAGGCCCTAGGCCCAGCCCATCAAGCCATGTTTCTCTCTTAGGCCTCCAAGCCTGTGATGAGAGACGCTGCCAGGAAGCCCTCTGACATGCCCTGGAGACATTTTCCCCATTGTCTTGGTGATTAACATTTGAATTTCTTCCTAGAAATGTTTTTTTTCTTTTCTATTGCATTGTTAGGCTGCAAATTTTCCAAACCTTTATGCTCTGCTTCCCTTTTAAACATAAGTTCCAATTTCAGATTATCTCTCTCAAGTTAAAATTTTCACAGATCAGGGCAGGAGCAAAATGCCACCAGTCTCTTTGCTAAAGCATAGCAAGAGTCACCTTTGCTCCAGTTCCCAAAGAATTTATCTTCTCTCTCTGAGACCACTTCAGCCTAGATTCATTGACTATATCACTATCAGCATTTTGGTCAAAGCCATTCAACAAGTCTCCAGGACCTTCCAAAATTTCCCATATGTTCTTGTCTTCTTTTGAACCTTTCAAGCTATTCCAACCTCTGCCTGTTACCCAGTTCCAAAGTTTTGCTTCCACATTTTTGGATATCTTCATAGCAGTGCCCCACTCTCGGTATCAATTTACTATATTAGTCCATTTTCATACTGCTATAAAAAACTGCCCCAAGCTGGGTAATTTATAAAGGAAAGAGGTTTCATTGACTCATGATTCAGTATGGCTGGGGAGGCCTCAGGAAATTTACAATTATGGCAGAAGGCAAAGGGGAAGCAAGGCAACTTCTTTGCAAGGCAACAGGAAGGAGAATTGCCAAACAAAGGGGGAAGAGCCCCTTATAAAACCATCAGGTCTTGTGAGAACTCATTCACTATCATGAGAACAGCATAGGGAAAAGGCTCCCCATGATTCAATTACCTGTGCCTGGTCTCTCCCTTGACACGTGAGAATTGTGGGGATTATGGGGATTACAATTCAAGACAAGATTTGGGTGGGGACACAAAGACTAACCATATAACCCTCTCTCCATTACAGAACATCTCAGAAAGAAAAATTCTTATCACAAAGTACACCAGATTTGCTACAGCCTAACACTTAGTCTCACAAATCCTTTTTTCTATTAATCAAACCCTGGCTGAGGAGACAAACAGTGGGGTTTACCATTTACACACACACACACACACACACACACACACAGAGAGAGAGAAAGAGAGAGGGAGAGACCAGAAACTTGGTTGGTAAGAATTTCCCACCCTCTTTGCCAGTATACCGGGTTTCCAGGTTCCCTTTCTCTGCAGCTTCCAGAGTAACAGAGAGGCTTTTGATGACTCTACTCACTGTGCCATAGCTGTGGGGATCAAGCTACTTTACAAAGGAAAATAATATTGTTCTGTTTTATGGAACCATAGGGAAAAGCTTCTCAATTTTTCAAGAAGCTGCCCAACAGGTTGCATGGGGAATTGAATGAACATTTTCCATCTTAACTGAATCAAAATACACATAAGAAAACAGACAGTAGTCACCTCGCTCAGCACCCAACATTAACCTGGCAAGGCTCAAACTTTCTCCTGTTGGTCTCTGTCATCTGTGATCCATGCAACATGGGGAGCAGTGACCTCTGACCAGAATTCAATGGACGGTCTCTGGGCGAGAGACAAAGAGCAGAAGGTCACCTTGAGTCAGGACTGTTGAGCTGTCTTCAGCGCTCTCCAAAAGTGACCAGATAAATAAGAGAGATTCTCTGAGTTGGGCCTGCTAGACTTTCATCAGCAGTTCCTTCAGAGATCCCATCCACATATACAAATACACACACAACAAAGACAAGAGAGACAGAAGACCTTCCAAACCAAGACCCCTGACCAAGAATTCCATAAACTATTTTTTCCAAACTAACCTTCTACTCTCCGTCTGAGGAATCTGCCCGAAATATTCCAGATTGGGGAGATCTCCTGAACCAAGACACTTATCACTAATTAGGGAGAGCCAACTGAGACCCCCAACAGAGCCAAACCAAGACCCCTAAGGAGCTGAACCAAAACCCCCAAAGGAGTCAAATGGAGGCTCCAAAGTAACCGAACCAACTGGGAGAAGGAAAGGGGTATTGGCAGCACCCAGAATACTCACCAAATCAGACACCTCATAATGGGGCTACAGTTACAGACATCCTGTGGTGGAGCTATAGGCAGACATCCCACCGTGAAGCTACAGTTATGAGACATCTCCCCAGGACTACTTGTCTATTGCAATTAAATCTATGTACATTGGGTTGGCAGTGCCTTGCTAGTAGAGACAGTACCAGAGTCAGCCCCCAGTCAAAGAGAACTAGGCAGTCGCTTGGGCTGGCCTCTGGATCCGTCGCCAGAGGACAGCTACGAAACCACTGGCAAGTATGCGCAGGGGCAATCCCAACAAGCCCCCAGATTTGTAACTGCTCAACGGGTCCACCTTGCCTATTGCCTAGACAGCCAATTTATCGAAACAGGGGAATTGCAGTAGAGAAAGAATAATTCATACAGGGCCGGCTGTGCAGGGGACTGGAGTTTTATTATTACTTAAATCAGTCTCTGAACACCACACACTTTTAAATAATAAAAATCCAGTCTTTGATAGTTAAAGAAAGAAAATGCTTTCATTACTGGATATAAGTTGGTTCACAGAATCTTCTAAGTAGCCCAAGAATCAAATTATGAAGCTACATACTGCAACAACGAATGTACAAAAGCCATTCTCCCCAAGTTTGGCATCTAGTTATTGGGTAACAAGAAAATTACCATGACTGCTTTTGAAAAACTGAACACCTCTGCCATCATGATTGCTAGAAAATTAACCTGCATTTAGTGGCATCATATTTCATAATGCAGAAAATAAGCCCTAATGGTGTATATCCAATTGGCATAATGTAGGTTACAGGGCTCCACTATAGCAAAGAAGAGAAAGATAAAAATTTACATGTGAAACCCTAGGAAACCTGAACTAACCGTATGTGAAATTTGCAAAAGTTAGAAATCATTTCAATTTCTAATTGAAATTTCTAATTGAAATTGAATTTCAATTTCTAATTTCTAACTGAAATTTCTAATTGAAATTGAATTTCAATTTTGGGTAGCCTCAATGAAACCCACTCTAATGTTCCTCATTGTTTGATTCATAACATTTTATTTTCTTTCTATAATGATTGATACTTTTGGTCAGAGAATAAATAAATGATTGTGACCAATTAGCTGTCTTTAATCATTCTCTTCCATTGCCTTAGGTTTATGATATTATAATTTGAATGTGGAGGTAAAGCTTGTATTTTTAACTACATATTAGTTTTCAGATACGCATAACTTTAATGATCTATGTTGATATACGCTGCTTGTAGTAGGATGCATAGAAACCAGATTGGAAATCACTAGAGACCATTTATTGTATTCTACTTTCAATATAGGGTCTCTATATATGCTAATATTTATGCTGTATTCTAATAAATGTATTTAGAAAGCCAGTAATTGAAATGTTTGATTTTAAAATGATACTGTCACAACATTAGTGACATTTAAATTTCCCTTAACAATGCTACTATTCGACTACATGATTATTGACAAAATAACTTTTTAAATCGGTAAAAATAATTCACACTCTAATTTCTTCACATTAATAGACTCATATCTATACTTACCTCAAGGTAATGTCAGAAATCTGGAAGACATCAAAATATTACAATAATACTGCCAACAAATTTCTAAATTTTTTATATTTTTATACAATTAATACAATGAAACATATGAAAAATGTAAATATAGCATTGGAATAAACATTTTTGTTGCATTTAACATACTTTTTTCTTTTTTTTTTTTTGAGACAGAGTCTTGCTCTGTCACCCAGGCTGGAGTGCAGTGGCACAGTCTCGGCTCACTGCAACCTCCGCCTCCTGGGTTCAAGCCATTCTCCTGCCTCAGCCTCCCCAGTAGTTGGGATTACAGGCGCGTGCCACCATGTCTGGCTAATTTTTTGTATTTTTTTAGTAGAGACGGGGTTTCACCATGTTGGCCAGGGTGGTCTTGAACTCCTGATCTTGTGATCCGCCCGCCTCAGCTTCCCAAAGTGCTGGGCTTGCAGGCGTGAGCCACTTCGCCCGGCCTGCATTTAATGTGCTTAATGCATATTAATTCCTTTACTTTTTAATCTTCATCAAATGTTTAAAAAGCTTCTCCTTACTATTCATACAATATGTGTGTGTGTATATATGTGTATATATATACTCACCTAATAACAATGAGTGCTTAGAGAATAGATAGTACTGCATTATGACCAGGGATAAAAAATATGACACTCAGCAATAACTGTCATAATAATAATAACAATAATAATTAAATAACAGCAACTGAAAGAAAAGCGTCCTTTCCTGAGGAACTTGTGCAATGCATCAGTCATGCAACATAATCTTTTTCTTGCCATATAGAAAGCAATTATAGGCAAAGGGATACATATACACATATATATGTATACACCTATACATGTATATACACATATAATCAATTTAGATTTTAATCATCATATTAAAATATATTATTATATGTATAAGTTACACTGCAGGAGAGAATATGCCTAAGAGAATTATGGAAGCTGTATTTGAAAAGAAAGATGTGTTTGGTCTTGGTGTTGAAATAGTTTACTCTGACGATAATATATAGGTGATATTAAAGGAATGTCTCAGAGAGCTGAAGTATGTATTACATCACATTTTGAAAATAACAGCCACTTTCCTGTTTCAAGTTATAAATTGATTACATAATCTATTATATTATGGTCCAAAATAAAAGTAAATTTATAAAAATCCTGATTGTAAGTTGTGTTTGCCATTCCTATTCAAGAATGTCAAAAAACTAAAAATTTATATAATTAGGTATCTATAGAAATATTTCTTTCAATGAGGTTAACGTTTGAATGTTTATTAGTTGGTATAACTTCCATTTTAATGTCTATTTTACCTTGAAATGAACAGATCAATTTAGTCCTTTCCAATGGCATAAGCCCCATTGATTTTGATAAAAAGCATTAGCTTTCAAAACCTGTTCTATGAAGCAAAAATTATGTTTTCTTCAGTCTTTAGAGAAAATAAGTAAACATAAATTAAGGGCAGAGACTGTGTCTTGGCAGTGTCCTTTTCCCCCCTCCCCTGTGGTATCCAACATATTATAGGTCTTTGATGAATGTTAAATCACGATGATGACAAAATCCTGAACTATCTCATTCTTTAAATCATCAAACTATGAAATGTTATCATTCACACATGATGTTAAAATAGCTTTTAAAAAAATAGCACATTTATATTTCCTTAGGTCATTTTGATAAAGCAAAACAATTGGCATACATGACAGCTTCCCATCTATCTGTGTGTTTAATAAAGCCAAATGTGATGAAGACTAATGTACCATATTGATGTTTGGAGAATTTCATTAATGTATTTCCAAAACTATCATAACTCACTCACCTCTGTTGAGTTTATGAGCCATGGGTTTTGCACCAGCACATAAAATCAGCTTTCCTCACACAGTGCAGACACTAATAATATCAAAGATGTCACTTCTTCACATTTTGAAACAAGGTGACTCATTTCCTTCTTCTCAATGTAGTAAGACAATGGAGTTATTTAAATTAGTACTGAAATTAAGAACTTATGCAAAGTCACTAAGTGAGGGTACCATGTTTTTCATAAGAAAAGCCTGGTTTTTTTAAGTCACAAAATTCAAAGTGGTACGACAAAGCAAGTCTTACCTTTGCTCAGAAATGTAATTTATTAGAAATACAGTTTATTAATAAAATCTCCTTATATCGATTATTAATATTCACTTTACTGCTCCATGAAATATTTTAAAAATCCTCCAACAGTATATTGATGATGTGCTAATAACAAACAGATACAGTTACTTACTCATTAACCTTCAAATAGTAGTATAATCAGAATGTAAGCCTTATATTTATTAACTATGTAGCATTCATCTGTATTTATAATTAGGTTGATTCAAATATAGATCTTAAGAATATTTTCATAGGCCATCTATCTCACCCCATTCTACCACCTTTGGAGGTTCTACTTATATAGCTGCTATCATAAAAAAACAAAATTATTAAGTGTGTTTAATAGCTATAAATCAAGTAGATAAAGATGTGAATGAAAAAACAAAAAAGCAATGCCTACATCTGGCTTCTGTCTACTTCTCTGACTTCTGGTAACAATCCCTTTTTTCTCTCTCCTTCCCCCATACACACCTCATTTACTCCTCTCCTGGCTCACTGGCCTTCATCGTTGCTTCATTATGTGAAATGCATTCTCTCTCAGATCTAATGTACTTTCTTCTCTTTCTGTTTGGAAAGTTCAAATGCAATTTCTTGCATGGCTGCCTACTGGTGATCCTATAGGTCTCAGTGTATTTTATTATGATGCATGTGGAAAAAAATGAATTTCTCATCCACTCTCAAATACAGGGAATCAGTTAGTGGATTTTCATGGATTTTGGCCCAAATAACATGAAGTACTAGAATTATTTTTTTTTTCCAAAAATAATGAGGCAGCAGTTTCTGTGTTGTTTCACCACTTAAAAAAATGATGTAACGTTGTAATATTGGATAAGTCACTTACAATATTTTTCTCATCTGTGTAAATTTAATGCTTATATTACTGAACACACATTTTTAGATAAGCATCAGATATTGAATGTAAGAACTTACAGAGGTATTCAACCTAGTATTTTTCCCCCTTTATATCCATGATGGTTTCCACAAGTATTCACATTGCCAAAAGGCCAAGTGAAAATGATTACACAGTCAATAGAAAAACAGTGCAGATACTTCCAGTGCAAAATACAAAAGCAGGCAGGGAAATTCCTAAATTGTCCACAATTTAGTTCCTATGATATATTTAACACATTTATTTATTTATTACAACTATATAAAAACTATATTCCAATCAACAGATATAAATGATAAAATTTCTCTGTAATTATTTTATTCATTATCATGCAATACATGTAGTGAATGCAGCAGTATGAAAAATGCAGAAAATTGTTAGAAAAGTCATTAAATCCAAAAAATGAAAAAAGAGAATTAAAAAGGCAGCAGTATTGACTTTTCTTTTAGGCCTGTATATATAGGCTTCTCAAATCCTCTAGTGAAGAGAGAGTATAATCACTTCTTTGCAAATTGCCTTTCCATATTATTGTTAACTTTATTGTAAGGTTAACTGAATATAGCTTAGCATAATATATTTGTGTGTATTCTCATGTAAGCCTTTTCTTATCTCTGTTAAGACTTGAATTTGAAGAACTACTTTTTACTTTTTAAAGCATGTCACAAATTCAGAAAATCAAAACCAAGACGGATAAATTTCAATACATTCAATTTGACAGGATAATAAAAAATAGTGTTCATAGGTAAAAAATAAATAAAAGTGGGGAAATATGAATAATACAACCCATAGCCAAATGCCAAGTTCCTAAAGATATTTATAATCCTTAAAAAAATGATAAGAAAAGGAGCAAAAGTTTATCTAAAGTGGGCAAAATAAATGGGCATGTAGCCACCAGCATTAAGACACACACACACATACACACACACTCATTGAAATGTGCTGAACATACCTCGTAATTTAATAAAATGCAATTTAAAGTAATAATGTGACAGGTGTTTCCACCTACCAATTTCTAAAATAAAAGCAAACAGTTTTATAATGCAAAACATTGGTGAACATGATGTGAAAAAAGACAGTTTGATACAGTGAGAGTCTGCTTGTTGAACAGCAACTTTAGAAGGCAATCTGACAATATCTGGCAGATTCATTAAGTCAATAAGCATTTCAGAGTACCCCTTTGTTCCAAATACTTTCCAAGCTAGGAAATCAGGAAAAAAATAACAAGCAAGCCAAATTTCAATTTCATTACATTCCAGAGATGGGAGATAGGTGACAATCACATTAGTACTTTGTTTTAATGTATCAAATGTTTAAGGTCAAACATGTACTTCATCAGCTGGTAATAATAAGCAAGGCATGCACTGGCAAGTGCTGGGGTAAGAGGGTTGTGACTGTGAGGGTGACATTTTGTTAGAGATCTGGAAGAAGGAAGCAAATATTCCATGTACACATCGGGAAGGAAAGATTCAGTTTTAAAGGCAGGGTTGGACAAAGTTTCTGAATATAGAGCTTGTCTAAAATTTTTTTAGATAAGAATCACAATATAGTTTGGAAAATAAAAGGGAAAATAACAAGGAGAGGAGGGAGAGAGACAAAGGGAGAGAAAAAACACACCATGCAGAGTTTTGAACATTATTGTAAAGACTGACATTTACTCTGAGGTGGAAAGCCATTGTAAAAATTTGAGATGATGAGTGCCATGATCTTATTTAGGTTTTGGCTTATAAGCTGACTCTGGCTGAGAATAGCTACAGAGTAATAAGAACAGATGTGGAGTAAGATGAATTAGGAGACTATTGCAGTAATCCAGGTCAGAAAAGATGGTTGCTTGGGTATATTTTTTAAGGTAATGCCAACAATATATACTGATGAGAATGTTGTAGGATATAAGAGAAGACAGGGATTGCAGATGACAAAGTTGCTGGCATAAGTGACCAGAATAATAAAGGTCATTTACTGCAAATCGGGTTTGCAAGGTAACAGTGTGATGGAATGTGGAGTCAGCTTGCTGTTCATTTTAAGGTTGAGGAGCCTACGGTCATCAAGAGGAGATGTCAATTGCATAATTATATGGAAGCCTGAGGATCAAAGAAGAGGTTAAGACTGAGATATTAATCTAGGGGCCATTAGCTTTCAGATGATATTTAAAGTAAGAGGATGTATGAAATGATAAAAGGTGAGTTTCGACATTAAGAGGTGTCAGAGATGACAATGAAGGAGGAGACGAAGAAAAGGGACAAGTGCTGTAGGAAAGACACCAGGAAAGGATGGTGACATGGCAACAATTTAAAAAGATAATACTTAATATACTGTCTTCTGTAATATAAAATTGATATTGGATTTAGCAACACTGATATCACTGTGACCTTAATAAGCATAGCTTCAGCGTTTTGATGGGGAAAAATATGATTGGTGTGGAGGACATTCAAGGGGGGATGGAAGGAGATGAATTTTATCTTTACATATGGAGTTTTGCTGTAATGGGGAGATAGGCAGAGATTTTCTTAGGCAGAGTATCAAATAAGTTGGTAGAAGTGATGGTTAGAACTTGTGGAAATATGCCCCAATTCTTCCTAATTTTTCAGTGAACCACAAAGGAAAATATTTGGATGTGAATAAAGGCAGAAAAAGATGTGTTGGTGGTGTCAGGAAAAATTTAACAAAAGTAAAATATGAGCATAGCTGCATCGGGAAAATATACAAATGTTTGCTAACACTGAATGCTCCGCAAAACCCAAGTCATACATTTAAAGAAAATCAGTCAGCATGGTTATGTATTTCATTTCAAACAAGTTAAACTCCATTGTCAAAAGTGTGGATTAAATTTTTCTTTACTTTTCTAGGGGATTATTTAAAGCAATGATGGGCAAATGGTTTGAGGTAGAGTCAGAGGAAAAATGATAATTATTTAAGTTAAGGTGAATTAGAACAGAGTAAAGACTGTGATGAAAGTTATGTACAAAAAGAGTTCATGGATTGTAGCTCAAAATGGAATCAAAGGGTTTTTGAGAGGGCGGGTTAATTCTGTTCACCTGAGATTCCAAACTGAGAGTCTTTAACAAGAAGAAAGACAATATTCTGGTAGCCGAAATGAAGGGCAAATAGGGTGTCTGCTCCACTCCAGGACTCTTGATATGACCAAGACTACAAAGGAAGAGAATATCCCACTTGAGAGGCTGCAAGAGAAGTGGCTTCAGGGCAGGATAAGATTTTGAGTTGAACAAGATAATGAAGGTACTATTTAGAGAAAAATTAGGAGATTTGGGAGATTTTCTGAGTTTCAGAGGTGGAGGGGAGGATCGAAAGATTTCTGCATTTGAGGAGTTATGAGAAGTGGGGTCAAAGAGTGGCATGACACTGGGATGCAGGACTGCCTTAAGACTCTTGGAATAAAAGTTGTGAAGTCCAGGAGAGAAACACAGTTAACCAGGACAAGACTCCTTCCAGGAATTAATTCTGCAATTGCAACTCCTGAAAATGTATCATTACAATTATTATTCATGTAGAAATAGATCAAAACAACCTACATATCCATGGAAAGACTCCGGATTTGACACGTTGCATTATGGAATCTTCTACAAAAGTTAAAAAGCAATAAAAATAGTTCTATACATGCATATAAGGAATACTCTCAGTCCTTATTTTAATTGAAATATGGAAGTTTGGTTTACAAACTAAGTTAGTGTTAAGTCTTCACTTTAATTAAAAAATATATATTTCCTCCATGAAGGAGACTAGAGCTCTCAAGCATAAGGGAGACTTTTCTTTATATGACTATTAACATCATTTTAATTTAACACATAAATATCATAACTTATAAAGCGTAATATTACTAAATTAAAATATAAAATACCCAAAAGATTAATGTAGAGGATTGTAAATTTATAATACAGTTTTGGACTCCACCTGACAATTTTAGTCAAGATTCTAGAGTACATAGTGATGGAGATCGGGTAAGCAGTACACAATAGAAATAGTTGAAAAGAGAGTTCCATTGTAGCAAAATAAAAGGGGATTTGTGTATATATATTAATAATTACATATACTATTTATAAGATATATAACACGTAACAAATTGATATATTGCTTGAGTAAACATATCAAGTAATAGGTCATAAAATATATATAAGACCTATGAATTATGAGATATATATTTTTCTATCTGTAGAGCTTTATATATATCAAGCTATAGTCATGAGAATGAACTACTACTCTCATTCTCAAAGACTGTACAAAAATTTTATAAATGAATAAGATTTTGACTTCCTTTTGTCAAATATAATTATAGTATTATCAAGTTCTAAGCTATCAAGATCCCTCTAATATTCATTGCTATAAATTGTTCTTAACTTTTGAATGTACATTTTATTATTTTCTAGGGTTTAATATTCAATATATGAAAGTAAATTATCAAATTAAAAATAATATAAATACATATATTGTTACATATAACCAACCTGATTTTAATTGAATCATACAAACTACCAATTTTTTTTCTTTTTTGTATTTTACATCTGATTTTCCTTATAAATAATTTTTGTATGAGATTTATAGATAGCAAAATTTTTAGAAGCCTTCTACAAAAGAGATTGACTGATTAAAATGCTGTTTTTTCCCTTACTATACTTTTGTACTTAAATAAGTGATCCTGTGTATCTCTAAATTTCTTTTTGCTCTTCTGAAAAAGTGGTAATAATAGCCAGAACCACTTCTACCCAAGCAACTTGCCCCCAAGTCAGGGGAATGCCATTTACATCACATTTATAATCCTACCCTGATAATAATAGTGGTTACTCCATGCAGTATATGTATCAGTGAGTATGTGAGGAATACTTGATATAGTTATTATGAGGAACACATGACATATGTAAAAAAGATGAGCTCATCACTTGACACATAGTAATACCTAGGAAACATTTATATTTTATTATTTATTCTTGGTCTTAAGGATAATATAGTTGGAGTAATGGGCTAAATATTCTTTATCATGTCTTCTGAAGTATAAAACTTTTGCATTTAAAAAATCATTTGTTACTGGGCAAGAATATCTTTGTTTTATGAATCCTCCACCGTAACTACGGTCTTATACTATTTATTTTGTGGAATGTTTTACACACCCGTATTTTATTTGAAATGTGTCAGGAAAATAGAATCGTGGTTGAAAGTATTTCTGGTGTTGTGAGAGACAGAAAACATGAGAGCCCTTTACAATAAGCCTGTCAAAATGCCTGTGCTACCTACCAAAAGCCTTTCATTTGGGAAATTCCTTAAACTTTATGACTTCAATCAGACTATCTGGACCTACCTCTAGGTTTCTTCAATAACTGACATCATCTACTTATTAGCATTTTTAGCATCCTAATCTCTGGTGAATTGTAACACTCTGAAAATTAAAGTTTTATATGAATTTCAATGCCATTTTGGGATTTTCAGAATAACAAAGTTGAAGTTTGTTACTTCAACAATATGGGTAAAATATGTTGAATTATAGAATAACCAAATTATTCTATTCTGTGTTGATAGATACTTATATGATCCAAAGAACAAATTGTATTGTCTGTCATATATGTCTAAATATTTATTTAATTGAATACTATATGCTATTTGCTATGTCTCAAAAAGTTTTGAATAAAATATCAATTTTAATCATACCTTTAATAATTCACAAAAATTCTGAGGTTCAATTTCACCTGAATGTTACTATTAACATGTTTTAGCCAGATTTTGTAAGGTAAGGCCACAGTCACAAATTACTCCAACACTTTAATGTTTATGATGTCATGTTATCACTTTATGGTGGGCCAGCAGTGACTTTGCTCTTGACCTAGGTGTGTCCTCATTTGCGAACCCAGCCTGATTGCCATCCCTAATTTAACACCCTATTTTATTCTGCAAGAGAGAAAACAACAAGAATACTGTTGGAAATACACACGTGTTCTTAAGTATCTAATCAGGACTGGCGCATATCGTTCCAGCACATATTGTTTGAACCAAAGCAAGTTGCAGAGCAGGTATAGAGTACTCCTCTTGTAGGGAGACACTCAAGTCACATGGGGTAAGGAGGTATACAGTCTTTCTTCTTGGAATAAGGAGCAAATGATTTGAAACAACAATGCAAGCTATAACCACCAACCCCCCTTGCGCACACACACACACACACACACTCACACACATGTCTAAAAGTAATACAATAATTAAAATCTCCTCATTCTTACTCAGTTCTGATGTCTAGAAATAACCACATCATCTTATATATATTCTCAGAAAGTTTTAATGCATAAAAACAAAAGAGTTTTTGTAATAATGCAATGGATTTTACATACTTGTCTGAAATTGTTTTATTAATTCTAGTGCAGTGCACATGCAATGACTGTGCTCCTAGATTGAACTGGTTTAAACAACACATCATAGCGCACTAGTCCTATAATAATAGTCTGTCAATCAGTACTGGTAACATACACAACAGTCTTACTCCTCTTAGTTCTTCTGTCAGAACCTATTTTTAAGGTAGAGACTAAGAGTTTGAGATACATACTTTCCTGTGCCATATTATACCTAGCAGAGCAGGAAGAAGTTAGTAGTGTGGGATTATCTTTCCAACTAGATTGTTTTTCTAGGGAATTTATGGTCATGATGTTGCTCACTAATAAAAAGTATAAGGTGCAAAGTGCATGTGCCCTCCCTATTCCTTAGCACTTTGCCATGTGATTACAAGATGCTTGACATGATGCAGGCATCTGGCAAACAGTAATAGGACATCACCGATGCATTAGGAAAAGCGAGAGAAATCCTAGATTGTAGACAAGATCACCAAACTACTTGACCAACTCTCCAAATAAATGCTTTAGTACAACTTGAGCATATTAGAGACCCTTTCCCCCAGTGAATGCCATTAACAGTTTGGTGTTTTAAAACTTGCTGCTTATAGCAGTCTCAAAAATGATAACTCAGTTTGCTAAGAAAACTATTTTCATTTGAAAAATACATTGGCTTACATCTAACATTGAACTCTTGAAAGTCAATATTTATTCCCTCACCAAGTATTTTATTTTATTTTATTTGCTGTGAGGTCTTGCTCTGTCATCCAGGCTGGAGTGCAGTGATGTGATCTCGGCTCACTGCAACCTTTACCTCCAAGGTTCAAGTGATTCTCCTGCCTCAGCCTCCTTAGTAGCTGGGATTACAGGCATGCACCACCATGCCCAGCTAATTTTTCTGTTTTTAGTAGAGACAGAGTTTCCTCATGTTGGCCAGGCTGGTCTTGAACTCCTGACCTCAAGAGATCCGCCGACCTCGGCCTCCCAAAGTGCTGAGATTACAGGCATGAACCACTGCGCCCGACCCACCACTCCCCAAGTATTTATTGCCCCCACTCTGTGAAAGACACACTTACACGCACTGGGAGTACAGCCGATAACAAAACACAATGATTCTGTTATGGATGTTGCGTATTTTAATTTAATATTAGATTTGGAACAATTAATTTTGATAAGAAATATTGACTTTGTTAATGATTTCGTTGTGTTTACATTGAGAAACTCTCTCCAATATGAAAGAGTCTATCTGGAATGTTTTTCCCGCAGATACTCACATGGCTCATTGCCTCGCCTCTTTCAGATCTCTGCTCCAACACCGCCATGGAGGACTTTCTTGGCAAGGCTACTTAAAATAGCAGTCCCTCAAATTTGTTACTTTGCACTTGCTCCTTCTATGGCATTTTGGTTTAAAATAACACCATTTTATTTCTCATTTATTATCTGTGTCCTCTACTAGAATAGAAATTGTGTATTTTTCACGGCTGTACTGGAGATTAGTAATATTACCAGTTATATCAAGAGTAGTTGTCCAAAATTTTTGTGTGATGAAACATTGTGCCTGGTTCCTCAAGAAAATTATACTAAACAGCCCTACGTTTTATATTTTATATTTCTCTTAAAATACTCTAAACCATTGTTTTTTACACTGTATATAAATAGGCATATCTTTTGTTTTCCTTAACCACCTTAACATAAATGGTTAAACAAAGTGTTCAATGTCTGTAAACAATTTTGTCCGCCTAGGTAAAATTTCTTTCGAAATTGTGTTCATGTTATTAATCCAAATGTGCATAATTTGCATTCCTTTATACTGATTAAGCAAAAGCAAAAATATGTACTAAATACTCTCTTAAACTTAATTTTTACTAATTATGTAGTTTCATTACAGCTTTAAAAAGCAAGTAGAATTTTCTAAATTTGTGCTTAGTGTTTTTATGAAGACTTCATTGTTGGTCCAAAGTCAGAAAAATAAAAAAAAATGTTTTGTTTTGAATAAGTGTTGTTTCTTATTAATCTCTACTAGATACATCTGCTCTACTGTAAACTTTTTGCATGCACTCCTGTATCAGAATTACATTAGATTTTATCCATGAATTATAATGTGGCCATTTACCTTTAGCACTAGTTTGATCTTCCACAAATCTCATCACCCTATATAGTCCTTTAGATTATATGTATACATGATGAGTTTCACTCCCTCCTGTAATTAGGTAATTTGTATAACACAGTTGAATGTAAGAAGATTATCTGGGTTGAGCCTGACCTAAAAGGGTAAGCTCTTAAAAGTGGCTGAAGTCATCTTGAAGTCAAAGTTTTGAAGTGTAAGTTGGGTTCATGCAAGAAACCGTCTATTTCTGGCTTCAAAGAAGCAATGGACCATGTTATACAGAATTTGGATAGCTGCTGGGAGTGAAAGCAGTTCTCAGATGACAGCCAGTAAGGAAACAGAGGTCTCAGTTCTATGCCCTGCTAAGATTTGAATTCAGCCAATGACCAAATAGACTTGAAAGTGTCTTTTTTCCTGCAACCTTCAGACTTGAAATCAATCTAGCTAACATATTGATTTCAACTTGATGATAGACTAAGCTGAGAATCCAGTAATATTTCACCTGGATTTCTGACCTACATACTTTGAACTTGTAAATTTGTGTTGTTTTTAGTTGCTAGTTTATTGATTTGTTAAACAGCAATAGAAAACTAATACACCCCTTCTCTTTCTTTTCGGTCTCTATCCAAGCTTACATCTTGCTCTTGTTTCCTTAAACCAGAACTACAACTCCACATAATTTTGTAACTGTGGTATTTATTATACTAGCTCACCCTACAAGTTTGGCTCTTATTTAGAGTAGTTCATTAAATGAGCTCCTTTCCTGTGACTTATCAGACATTGTCTACATCTGATAATGCCTGACATTCATGGAATTGAGCCATATAAAATATTGATAATTCCCCTGTCTCATTTATAACAATAAAGCAATAACAATGTCAGCTAGATTTACACAAGGTACTCAAAGTACTAACACGGGAAATGAAAACTATGGATCTCTCTTATAAGAAAACCGTGTAAGAAATGAGGTCTTAGAGTTATTTAAGATAAACATAAAGCCAGAAATACTATTTTGTATTTGTAATTCAAACACATAAAGAAAAACTTGTGTATTAAAATGATACCTGGCTACATATCTGAAAAAATATCAGTGAAGATATCTAGGGAAAGAATAGTCTCAGTAGATGGAAAGAGAGGTGTCTTCTCCAAAGAATAGTTTCTTGAAAACAAGTAATTGAATTAGACCCCTCCACCTGAATTTATAACATTTGTGAAGACTCAAAAGTATCTCTATTTCCTAAGTAATAACTTTGGGGAAAATTATTCTCTTTAGTTAATGCATGTAAGACTTGTCTGAGATTTAGTGGGTAAAAGTAGGATAGAGGAGATAATAATAAAAAGAGCATTTACTACAAATCCTCCTTGAGAATCAGGTTTGATCTGTGGTGAGTGTGGGTTTTTCTTCATTTGGGAAGTCAGTAGACAACACGTTAGGCATATAGCCCTGAGACATACTTTGCCATCTGCTCTATTAAGACAACTAGAGGGCTCTGTTTTAATAGAATCCTGTATAAGCATGTGATTAGAATGAAAATGTTTTTATTTTAAAATGATGATTGTTAAGAAGTTTCTAGATGCAATTTTGAGATAAAATAAAATACTCTGAATTCATTGTATCATTAATATGCTGTAAGAATTGTTGCTGGAACATTTGCTCCATCAATCACCAGAGGACAGGACAACTTATTCTGACTTTTCAGCTTGAATTGGGAAATAAATCGAAATCATTTCTCTTGCCATTAACCTTCCATATGAACTTACTGAGGTTTAGTGGATCCTTGATTAGCAGTCATTAAAATAGAATATAATTAGCAGCCTCCTAATTATATCTAACTCATTTCAAGAAATAATTTTCTTGTTCTTCCTATCCCATAGAGAGAACCAAAAATTACATATTTTTATTTGGCAATCAAATTCTAAAAGCTAATGAAAAAGAGTGCTTTCTTGTGGATTAATTAAGTGGTGCATACAATTTAGTGTCTTTTGCATAGTGCCTTAAGTTACTTTCAGATAGTTATTGAGTCTATTTTGTGATTATAATTATGGAAAACAAAAACAATTCAAACTGTATATGAATGTGTAGTGTGCATATATGTGTATATAAATACACATATACATGCATGTATATATAAAGTAATACATGTACATATGCATGTTACATATCAAAAAAGTTGTAATGTAGGTAATAAGATAACCCATAATCACTCAAATAATAACTTGATTTTAGCTTTAGTTATTAAAAATCAAATATAGTATATGATGCTAGTAACTTTGCATAAGGATAAATAACTTACAACTAAGGAGATAAGGAAGATTTTTCTCATTCTAATTTGGATTAGACACTAGATAGACATTAAAGACATAATTAATTCTATGTTTAGAAGGTAGGGAAAACAGAGTTCTAGGTAGACAAATTGAGCAAAGCCATATACAACAGTGAAAATATAAAAAAGTTTTTTGGAACACAGTGAGTATACTTTCTTCATTGCCGGCTCTTCTAACATCAGCAGAGGATGGGGTGTGATGTTTTTAAATAAAAATAGTATGAATGAGACTAAAAAATTGTTTTGTTTCTGTCTTTTTAAGTTGTATTTTATTTTCTTTTAGATTCAGGGGGTTCAGATGCAGGTTTGCTACATGAGTACATTGTGCAATGGTGAGGTTTGGGCTTCCGGTATACCCATCATCCAAATAGTGAACATTGTTCCCGATGGTTTTCAAACTGATTATAGAATGTTTGAAATGCAGCCTAAAATTTTGGCTTTATTTCTAGAATTATAAATTACTTGCGTTCATGTTGTCAACACATAATTATTGATATGATAACTTTTCTGAGCACCTGAAATATATTCTTGTACAAAACTTTCTGTCTTCATAAGTGACTTTCCAGTTAGATAACAGTCAGTAAATATAATAAATAGTAAACAAAATGTTACAAAGGGAAAGGTGGCAGAAAAAAAAATAAAATTGGAGTCTTTAGAATAGATATTCTATTCTATGTATTGCTTATAAAATATATTAGTTTTTAAAGTACATTTCAATGAGAAGGTCTAGAACAATGATATGAGGAGTTTGCCATGTGGTTAACATGAGAGAGCATCCAGGCCTGAAAAAGTAGGTCCTAAGTTGGATTCATGCTGTGTATATTTGACCAGCAGCAAAAAGCTAGCCTTGCTGAAACAGTGGGAGAGATGAAGAGAGAATGAGGTCAGAGAAGTGATGGGATCAGACGTTGGAGGGCTTTGTAGGCCATTTTAAGGACTGTACAAGGGCCATAACAATTAATAAATTCAATCTTCTATAATCAGCCCATTAATAAACTCAGATCCAGAAAGAATAAATGAACTGGTGTCCTCCCAAAAGAGCCCAGAACAATGCAATTCATCTACTAATTCAACAAATATCTATGGAGTATCTACATTGCATCAGTAGGTATAGTAACAACTTGGGGACGAAGGCCATAAAAGTAGGCAGCTATGATTCAGCTCTGTACATTTTATAATAATGGTGTTCATACCATGGAGGACACATTATAGAAGCAGGAAAGGGGAATTGGTTGCCAAGAGAGGAGTCTCCTAATGAGCAGGAATGCTTGAAAAATCCTTAAGTACGAGGAGAGAAGTGTAAACAAAATGAAGTCATAAAAGTGGGAATTCTAATGGTAATGGAGCACAGAGGAACGAAGAAGATTACAGTTGTCAAACTAAAGTATATGGACATAGCTGGGAAGAAAATTCAAGAAGAATGTAGGAAATCTGGAAAAGTGAGAAAGGATGAGATTGTGAGTGATGTTATGTGCTGGTTAAAAGGTATGAGATTTATTTAAGCGTTAATCCAGAGCCATGTAAAACAAAGAAATAGGAATAACATTAAATTTAGCTCAAACTTATATTTTATGAATTTACGATGGCCAAGGAGATAATTCTATGGAAGAAAGAAAATCTGAAACAATACAAATTAGACACGGTTTTTTAAATAGAGCAAAGGAAACTAACCTAATATATGACGAGGAGGAAGTAGAATCTGAAGTATTTGACGAGTATTAGAAATACAGTCCGGTGGATGATTATTAAATGGTGTTGATGAAAAAGATGATGGGATGCTATTTCTGGACAGCCTACAAAAGTAGTGCCTTTACTAAAAGAAACAATGCAATAATAGAAATTTTACACTACTTCCTTTAGATTGCACAACCCTGTCATCCTTCATTTGTTATGTATAGTACTCTCAGGAACCATGAGGGTTTCACCTTCAGCTCTTCCATCTGAATTTAAGTTTATTATGTCTTCTGTCCCAGTTATTCATTTTCTGTTTTGGTTTCAAGCTTAGCGAAATAAATATCTAAGATAGTTTTCTCACATTTAATCTAGCATTTGTATATGTGTGTGTGTGTGTGTGTGTGTGTGTGTGTGTGTGTGTGTGTGAGTGCGCACGCGCGCTTGGAAGGTAGATGGGGGAACTCGGTTCAACCTGGTAACCAGTAATGTCATCCAAAAAAAAATGCAAACTGTCTTTATTAAATTTTACTAAACAGATTTCTTACAAAGGACATTGTCATTATCTCAAACTGGAATAGGAACAGTGTGGGGAGGGGGGCAATGGAAGGAAAAAAAGAGATTAGTGACAGTGAATAGATTCACCAATATGTCTAGTTTATTTCTGATCTGATATTTTAATAGCTAAATGAAGATGGAAGTTGTATGGTTAGCTGAAAGGACAAAGATGATTTCATTACTATATTTATTTGAAGTACCAGCAAATATTAATTTAACATGGCTTCAGGCTAATAGTACTTGTAGCTTCTTCAAGTTTACACCAAAATTCCTGTGGAGATACAGAAAAAGTCACAAAACCCATGAAGTTATGTACCATTATGTAAAGGGGATGAAGTTCTTAGAGTATTCACTGTGAAATGAAATGTTAATGAGGCTAGCTGGCCTTATCCAGTTTTTCCTTAACTCATTTTATAACTGAGATTTTAAGTTTGAAACTGACTGCCTGATTTCTGTGGAAATTAATTTCTTCCATTCCTGTGCTGCTGTATAGGTTATTTCTATTTCCCTTGAATTTATTCTTTCTTCTCTGCAGTAGCGTTAGTTTGGTTTGTATCTATATCACTAATGGACTCCTTTAAGTTGAGGAAGTATATATTACTTGTATTTTCTGAAGCACTCATAAACACTTGAAAATGATTGTTCAATTATTGAATAAAATTTTCTTATCAGAATGGCATAATAGAGAACAATTAAATAATGTTTTGCAATGCTTAGTGATTAGTGAGCTGCTTCATGTAATAGAATAAAATAAAATAGGCAATGAATGGAAACTGCATTTTAGTTAACTTGGTGTTTCATTATTCTGATATTTATAAGCCAGCATTCATAAATGTTTTTGCATAGCTCTCTTAGATTATAACTTATCACATACTAATTTCTCACAGTTTTAAAGACCTGTATTTCTCTCTAAACTGAAAGCACATTAAGGAAATGAAAAAGTTATTACTTCTCAGCTACCTAATTATGACAAATTTCACAAATAGAATATATATCTGTATTTTACTATCAAGTATGCTGTCCAGTATTCAAGAATAATAATAATTATTTAGAAAAAAGAAATCTGTGTGTACAGTACTGAACATATTTACATTTCATTACCTTTATTTAAAAAATCTCATATGATATAATCTCATCAAATTAGTTTGAAATAATGTAACATATAAACCTTTAGTATTTTGTATGATTTTTGATATTTAATATGAAATGTAATATAAATGTATATATAATATTTTGATGAGGTGATCTATAAAATTTGTTTGACACATACCACTATCTTAGTAGTCCTATTTTAAAGAGAAATATTTTTAAAATCTATTTTAGATTGACTAGTCAATTATAAACCTAAGTATAAATTTTTATTATAACAAAAGTTTAAGAATGACCAAACGGTGAATGGTTTTCATATGAGAGTATATCTGTCTATATATATATAACATCTGTCTATATATATATAGATAGTACATTTGTCTATATATATATATCTTGATGCCAATATTGACGTAGATATAGAAATTTTAATAGAGATAGATATGAAATTATTAAGTAAAATCCACCAAAATCATAATTTAAATTCAATTATTTTAGGTTGAAGACAAAGAGAATATTACATTTCTCAAAAATGCTTACATTTGGTATTTTTATATTATTATTTTACAATGGGTATTAAATAAGTTCATATGATTACATCGTAAGACAGGTTGCTATCGGCATTTTTCAGACATTCTAATTAAATGTGTGTAATTTTTCTCAAGGTTCTGTAATATTCAAGTGGTAAAGATAGTATAAGGAGCTTGATTATTAAAATGTCAAAATGTCATGACTATTCTCTCGACCTACCACATGAATTTATTAATACAAAGCGTACATATAAAAATAAATGTAATGCATGTAAAAGTCAACAATATTACAATTAAGTTTCTATAATGTTTCTTCACTTAGAAAACAAAAGCTTTCACAACTAAGCATTTGATCATATGTAGAATTCAATTATTCTTTGAAAATAAAAAGAAACTCACATAGGAGTGCCTGCAGTGGACTAGGGTATTTTACAGATGTGTCTAATTTAATTTTCATGACAACTCTAAAAAGTGAATGCTTCTATTTTTTATTTAAAGATCTGAAAATATTGGTTAAATGGTTCAAGGTTATAAGAGTATTAGTGAACAGAATCAATATTCCAACCCAGGTCTCTGACTCAAAAACCCAAAGTTTTCTTGTATGTTTCCAAAGCTTTGAAAAGATCAGGCGATATTCTCATTTCATAAATGCAACATCAACAAATCATAACGAATTAGGTCCTGGCATGTAGCAAATTAATTTAAGTAATATTTGTGAGTATATTTTCTATAACAATAATAAATAATGTAGAAGAAATGATGTTTTCATTTATCAATTTTTTATAAGCTACTGAAATTATTTATCATCTTTGTACTATACCAGAACCAAGCATGCATGGTGTTCTTGTTTCTAAGTCATATTATATATATATATATATAATCTCACATATTTGAGATATAATGATATATATATCAGATCTATATGAGATATATATCATTTAGATGTAGGTATGTATATATGTACATATTACACACAGATACATAATACATACATATATATTTCTATACATCATTTGAATTTTTTCAACTACTTTTTGAATTATGACTTCAATTCATAAGTGTTATTATTTTCAAATTTTCAGTAATATAATATGACATCTAAAGATCTTAATGTAAAGCAATTTAATACAACTTTAATGTGGGGTATTTTCCCCCATTGGACTCCAGGAATTTATAGATAATTCTTGTCGATGACCCAGTCAAAATTTATAAAAAAAAGTGAATCTTTCTTTTCTGGCATGGAACATAAACTACATGCTGTCTTCAGAGAGCTAAACATTAATACAAATATTGATTCTCTAATGATAAGCATTTCAATGGACTGTAAGATAATTCCTCATGACCGCTATCTAGACAAAGAAGAAAAGAGAGAAGAATCAAATAGTTCTCATAGGTTTTTATTAAGAAATTTTGCATAATTATTTTGTTTGTTGGGCATTTAGTAGATTTCACAAGTGAAGTTAACCAACTGGATTATTTAACTTATATAAAGCTGTGCTTAACTTTGCTATAAAATGTAGCACTATTTTTGTTCATCTCTGTAGACTTTATGCTTTACTAAATTATTTAATTAACAGAAAGTAAAATGTTAAAGTTAAATGAAACAAATTATCCCTTTGGTGAATGACTGACAGGTTAATTAAAAATCAATGTTTGTGATTGATTTACTCAAAGCTATGAGCATCCACACTTTTCTCCACTCAATGTACATATAAATTATTTGTTAAATGTTACTTGAAAAAGAGAGCAGATAAAAAACAATGATTTTATCATTTCAATATTTCCTCTAGCATTCTTTTGAAAACTTTCAACTATAGATATAGATCATGTGCTTTCCTATTGAAACACATTTGATTTATAATTATTTAGTATTATTTCTTCAGTATGACTGAAGTTTTTTGGAAAAATAAAGATAATTAACTTATCTGTGCCTCAGTATCCTTCATAAACTTCCTCTATCCTCCTTTTTATAACATTCATTAAGCTGCAATTTAATTATCTTTTATACTAATATCTTGCCACTAAGATCTTTGTCTATAGAAAATGTCTCTCATTCAGTGTTGAAATATTTTATTATGGTAATAAGCATGTGGTAGAAATTCAATAAATGAGTGTATTTTACAGAACTGCCCAGGTATGTAATCACATTTTCAGACTACTTGTCGGATATTGTGTTGCATAATGAGTTCAAATACTGGTTTCCAAAAAAAATGACTATCTTATAACTTACATCCAAGGCTTAAGTATGTCTCAGACATGCCCCAAAATATTTTTATTTCTTTGATTTCTTTTGGAAAAAAAAAATAAAATTCAGCCACTAGCTACGATCAGACAGACAACACCCAGCTTTAATGATTATATATATGTATTTTCTTATATATATGAAAATACTCTGCATATTCTGTATTCTGAAGCTATGTTATTTTTGAAATGTCAAATGACCTGATTAATTGAATTAAAATGAATATGTATCCCTATATTTTTTAGTTATAAGATAAATCTAATAGAGTTCATATTTAGGAAGATGATAATGAACTGAGTACAGGAATAAGTTTAGATGTGTCTATTACATCATGCTTTTATAATTTTGTTTTAATATCAATTGTGTTACACACACATATATAAAGTGTTTCAATATTTATATTAGCATCATCATAGAGATTTAAAGTCAACCAAGATTATTTAAAACATAAAAATATATGATTTGAATTTAGTTAATAACAAAAAGATATTGCTTTATATTAAATCTGTATTTTTCTATGTGTAATTATAGCTTAAAAAATGTATTTCAAATGTCGACTTTTTTACATAAAATAATCTGCTTTTTTCTTCTTTTAAAAAATTTACTTAATTTTTCAAAAAAATATACAAATTATTTTTAAAAATAGCTAGTAGTTTATTTATTCTCTATTTTGATTATTTTTTCTTTTATGGTACAGTTTTTATACTTCACATCTTATGATGGGTATCCTAAATTTAGCATCATGATTTCTTTAGTAATATTTAATAGTTAAATAATTTTAAGCAATTGTAGTTTCACTGTGTGTTTTAATATTTTTAAACACTCTTACAAAAAAAGGAGCACTTGATAGTTTTTTCAGAGGCAAAACCATGGGAAAATGATATACTCCAACTTGATAATTTTATACATTAAGAAGGTATCCTGTCCTATTTGACATGGCCGATAAATTAATTGGAAGCAAATATTTTCCCAAAACATATTATACAGCCCATAGCTCAACTTTTCCAAGAAAAATTAGGTATTTTACATGTTATTATAATTCTGCCATGTTTCATGCCTATTTTTGCCATATTTTCCAATTCTTTCAAAGTCCTTAAATCTGTGAAAAGTAATTTGGTAACACAATTAAGAGATTTAAGTAAAGAAAATATGGTGTACCCAGAAGGTATGCCAAATACAAAATGACTGTATTTTGTATAGTCAATGTGAAATATTAAAGTTCAATTTTTTTCAGTACCCATAAATACTGAAAACTTATTTTCTTTCAGTAAAACATCCCATTTGATGGCTGTTTATATGGCATGGTTTCTGTCATGTGGAGTGCTCCCCTGTGATCTCTTCACTGAATGCTTTTTGAAAACTCTGAATGAGAATTTGAGTTTATTGGAGTGTGCACTTTCCAGCTCACATCTCTCATTTCTCTACTCCAACTTTTGAATTATCTTCTCCAAATTTTAGTTTCCCTTTCTGCCTCAATCCAATATTACTCAATATTACATCCTTATATTTTTCCTATTATAGTAAATTAAGATCAACCATTCAATGATTATTCAATGAATATCTGTCAAATGTGATGCACTGTTCTGAACATGTAGGATATACTAAACAGGTCAATAAGATGTCATGCACTTTATATTCTTAATTACCAATTCAATTTCAATGTATTGCAAGGCTTAAAAAATATATAATAACAGACTATTTTCTTTGAAAACATTTAATACAACCTATTAAAACCCAAGGAATAGGCTAGGCACTGAAAACATAAGTATTAAAAACTATGTTTTTCATTTAAATAGTTGTTGGTCTACTGGCCAAATGATAAAACTTGAAACAAAATAGTGTGATATTTCTGAATTTGGAAGTTCTAGACTCAAAGGCTATTCTTGACTCTGAGTTCTGCTACTTACTGGATCTTGAGAGAGTTCACTTTACCCTCATCAATGAGTATAATATTAAGAAACATATAGAGAATATAACAGTGGGATTTAACTTACAGAATTACTGTGAAGATTAAAGGCATAATAGAAGTACTGCATATGGTCTGGCACATAAAATGTGCTCAATAAATGTATTTTTGTTGGAATGCTATTGCTAATGTGTTATAATTGTATATATTTAAAATAGCATGCTAGTATCTGTGAGAAATTAACTTACTTCCATCTTGGCAGAAAGGTAAAGGTTAATAACTGAGTTCAGCATAAATTACAGTGTCTTACATGAACCTTAGTTTTCTCACTATAAAATGGCAGTAACTTACTATAATAATTAGCAGAAATATGAAAGAAAAGAGTTTTGTGAAAGTGGAATATAAACTCTAAGCACAATATAAATATACAATGTTACTAATATACTATAATAAAACTGTTAACAAACACCAAAAGGCATTTGAAGGTGAGTTACCTGAAAGTTTGGTGTTTGGTTTGCCAAGTAGGTGCCTACAGTTAAATGATAACACATTATACACTTTATGAGATAGCTGTTAAAAAGTAGAGAAATTGAAATGTTGGTGCCAGAAACTTAAAAAACAGGACTCTCTATGTTGTGAAATATCGCATTTAATAAACTAAGCCACATGGTCATGCCGTCATTATTTATGCCTCTTTGAACCCCAAACCCCCCATTTATTAATAAAAGTTGAATTATATCCACTCATTTGATTGATTCGATGAGTGAGGCTTACAATGAGATGATCTACTCTGAACATCAGCTAAAATGCTTGCCTCACAGCAGACACTATAAATATTGTCATACCTCCTTCATTCATTCTTTACATCATCTTGTTCTGGGGGAACAAAAAGAATGACTAGGATATGAAACAGGTTTCATGGAGCCACTTGAATTGCTTTCTCAGTACATCACTGTATTGCCAATATCTAAAGTGCCTTTTTTTCTATAAATAAAGAATTATTTTCTCACAATAAGGTAAAAAACTCTCATAAATTTTGTTCATATTCTCTGAAAGTCAAAAACACAGAGAAAAAATAGCCTGTGGGGAATATGATAAGCTTTATGTGAGAATATATTGCCATTAAAACAACCATCACCAGCCAATATACCTCCAAGGTGAATCTCAGAATAAAATATTCATTTTTCTAGAGAAATTGGGTTAAGTTAGTTGTTTTCTGAAAAACCATTAATTTTCCCTAGAATTGAAGAAATATCACAAAAATTTATGACTATAGACATAATTGAAATTTATTATTTGTATCATAATATAGCCGGGGCTTATAAATATTTATTTTCTTTGAATTTCTCTACTCTACAAATGATCAGTGTACATAATACACTGAACATGTACTACTGATAAGTCAGGATTACGATGGTATTTGGCAAATTATATGCAGCAGATAACATTTGTTCATTTCTAAGTGCTTGTAGTTTATGAAAGCCCTTTAGTCAAGATTTATTTTAGTATATAAAATTTTAAAAAAATCTTTTAAAGCTAATATATATTTTCACCAACTAGAAGACTAAAAGACAATTCACTAAAGGATTAGAACATGTTTGTAATTTTCCTGGAGAGTCTTCACAGTAACCCTTGGAGGCATATACTGTCTCCATTTCACAGCTGAGTAAATAAATGACAGGTAATGTGGAGATTAAACACATATAATTGTTTAAAAGTGTATTTGGTTTTTGCACTGAAAATATGTAGTAATTAAAATGACAGAGTTAGAAGAAGAGAGACAGAGAATATGTTCCCTCTAATAAAAGCATACTGAGAGAAGAATCGAAAACAGGATTAAAAGTCACCTTGTCAATAAAAAGACAAGTCAGTTGAAATAAATGTATTAGAATGTTTTCACATGCAATTAATAGAAAGCTCAACCAAAACTGTGGATAACAGTAAATGGAAAATAGATGCTACTACTTCTGAATAATTTCATTCAGTACATTTGGATTATCTACACTGGCATTTAGCTAGGCCCCAAATCTCTTATTTTATCCACTGGCTTGCTGGCTCATGATTAAAATGGCTACTTCAGTATGATGTTAGCTGTGGGTTTGTTGTATATGGCCTTTATTGTGTTGAAGTGTGTTCCTTCCACATCCAGATTGGTGAAGGTTTATGCACCGCAAAGAAAACCATAAAGTGAAGAGAGCCTATGAAATGGAAGAAAGTATTTGCAAACTATGTATCTGACAAGGGGTTAATATCCAGAGTATATTAGGAACTCAAACAACTTAAGAGCAAACAAACAAACAAACAAAAAAAACCCCAAAAACCTGATTGATAAATGGGCTAAAAACCTGAATAGACATTTTCCTAAAGAAGATACACAAGTGGTCAGCAGATACAGGAAAAAATGCTGAACATTAGTAATCATCAGAGAAATGCATATTAAAATTACAATGCCATTACCCCTCATCTTAGTTAGAATGGCTATGATCAAAAAGACAAAAAATAAAAAATGCTGGTAAGGACATGGATAAAAGGGTCCCCTTATACACTCTTGGAAGGAATGTAAATTAATACAGCCATTATAAAAAGCTATATGGAGATTTCTAAAAAAAAAAAAAATAGAACCACCATACAATTCAGCAGTCCCATTACTGGGTATATATCCAAAGGAAATGAGAACAAGATGTCAAAGAGACATCTGTACACCAACGTTTATTACTATTTATTTATTAGTATTTGACTATTCATGATAGCCAAAATATGGAATCAACCTAAATGCCCATTACAGATCAATGGATAAAGAAAATGTGGTCTATATATGCAACGGAATATTATTCAGCCATAAAACAGAATGGAATTCTACTTTTTGCAGCAACATGGATAAAACTAGAGGACATTATGTTAAGTGAAATAAGCCAAGCATAGAAGGGCAAATACCATATAATCTCATTCATGTGGAAATTTAAAAGTTGATTTCATAGAAGTAGAGAATAGAGTTGCGGTTGCCAGAGGCTGGAGAGGGGTGGGGACGGGGGAACAGTGAAAAGTTGTTCAATGGGTAAACTGTCACAATTAGGAAGGATAAGTTTTGGTGGTCTATTATACAGTAGGGTAACAATACTAGCAAACAACAATGTATTATATATTTCAATGTAGCTGGAAGAGAAGGTTTTGAATATTGTCACCACAACGAAATGATGTTTAAAGTGATGGATATGGTAATTACCCCATTTGATCATTATGCAATGTATACATGCACTGAACCATTGTATTGTGTCCCATAAATATGGACAATTATGTGTCATTTATAAATAAAAATACGTAAATAATAATAGTTCTAAACAGGTAAAAATAAAATACTATGGCTACTTCATCTGCAGGACACTCTTGCTTACATAACTTCCTCCAAACAAACAAAAGGAGAGTGTCTCTCTACACATTTTTTAGTCACAGTAGAAAACATTTTCCATCAGACCACCCAGCCTAACAGCCTAATATATCATAGGCCAGAAATGCGTCACTTGTCAATCCCCTTAAATCTATTACTGACACAGGGGAATAAGATTGTTGTACTTCATTTAGTTCAACCATCACTCATCCTGTGAGACTAGGAAGAGGCCCATTTTTCCTGAACATAGCACCTTCAGACATACCTGAATTACATCTAGATTATTTTTGGCAAGAAAAAAAAAAGAAATGCTATCTGAATAGGCAACTAACACTGTCATGTTAGGTATGAGTGACTTAGAGGGAAAATATAATATAGAGTTGAAATGTTTCTGATTTTATTCTGTTGCAAGCTGACTAGATTCAGGGACCATTGCATTGTACTACTTCAGTCAGCATCATCCATATTAAAATCTATGTGAAAGATGTTTCCTAGACTTTCACACTGTAAAGCTTGAGTGGCCATGTGCATCAGCCCTGGTAAGTATAGTGTCTTGCAGTGATCTTGAAAGAGATCTACAAATTACCATGGAACAAAACAATTGCTGTTATATATTAAGCACTGAGTGCCACAATACAGCAACAACTGAGTATTGCTAACATACATTAAACAGAATGTGCCACAGACTGAACTAACCTCTAAATATATTTTCTAATTTAGTTCTCATAACAGCCTTATGAAATAAGTACTTTGATTTTCTCCATTTATTGATGAGATTGAGTGCTTTATAAATCAAGTATCTTTCCCAATATCCCATTTAGTAATTAATAGAGATAAGCTAGAGGTAATTATCAAATACACATATCAATTGCTATTAAACAGCACTCTAGATGTCTACGAAATGTAAGTAGAAGAAATGAGACATGATTGATGAATCAGAAATATCAGAACTGGAATATAAAAATAAAAATGTCGGCCAAATAAATGAGAAATAAACAGAAAAAAGTGCACAGCCAAAAAAAACCCCCAAGGAATACTCATATATGCAATATTAGCACTGATTATGAAATATTGTTTTCTCTCAATTATGACATGTAAAAAAGTCCAGAATTAGGCATAAAGTTTTCTTAATCCAAATGTAATCAGTCAATATGAACACAATGTTTATGATTTGATTACTTTTTATATTCTATGTGATTACCCCAGAAATAGTGATAGCAGGAGTAGAAGCATTTACTATTTTGTCACATAAAACAACTTATATTAGCAAGGGTTGGGGAATTACAAAATATATTAATCATATTAATATATTTTCAGATATAAATGACAAAATTCTAAAACACGTGAAGTAGACTACTGATACAAACTCAAAATTTTTAAAATTGATGTCTCTAAGAATCATTACATTTGAAGCTTTGTGGTCCTATGTGGAATCTTTTCTTTGTCATATCTTAGCTACGTTATAGTGCAGGAAATTAATCTCCAGAGTTTCAAATTTTCCAACTGTTAAATGTGGGTTAATAATATCTATTTGTCTTGGTCATTTGAGGTTGAAGGTAACAAGTGCCAAGTTGTCTGGCTGCTTGGCACATTCCAGTTACTTAATAGAAAGAAGAACTGTTAAAAAATTAACAGTAGTCCTTATCTCTCTCAGTGTATATATTCCAAGACCTCCCATGGATGGCTGAAACCCTGGATAGTAGGAAGCCATATATATATATAGATATAGATATAGATATACCCATCTATCTATCTATCTGTCTATCTATCTATCTATCTATCTATCTATCTATCTATCTATCTATCTATCTATATATACATGGCTTTTTCAATCTGGTAACTAAGATGGCTGTTAAGTGACTAATGGATGGGTAGTGCATACAGTGTGGATAAACTGGACAAAGGAGTAATTCACAGCCCAAGAGGGATAGTGCAGGATTTCGTGACGCTACTCCGAAGGGCACACAATTTAAAACGTATGAATTGTTTATTCCTGGAATTTTCCTTTTAATATTTTCAGGCAGTGGTTCAAAATTTTTCTGTAGTAACTTTCTGTATGTCACTGAAACTATAGAAAGTGAAACTTTGGATAAAGGGGGACTACTGCACTTAAATTTCTATTTGTGTTTGTTTTTTCTTTAACTCTACATGTAACCTGAATTCAGAAATCAGTTTCATAATTCACGGCCCCTATGCAATTATTAATTCATTAACTTTAGCTCTTTTCAACAGACTATGGTTCCTTGATATGGAGAAGGACTTTTATGTAATTTTTTCAAAAGCATCAGAGCCAACACATGCACAACTCAGAGAGTTATGCTAGTTTGTGTCAAGATGGCAGATAATAGCATCAATCCTTGCAGTTTAAAAATTTTTTAAAAATAGCATTTTCAAAAAGTTCGATTTGGTTTGGAGTTTATATTGCCGGCTACTTTATTTGATAAAATCATTTTAAATTTCAAACACATTTTAAAGTTTAATATTAAAATATAAACAATGTATATTTCAAATGAGTTATCTCCATACTTTTCAATTTTACAAAATAGAACAATAAAAAGTTTTTTTCAAAAAGATATTCTAATATATGAAGTACAACTTTTTATTTTTTGCAAAGCAAATGTTTGAAATGGGGCAAAACAAAGAGCAGCCTCTCAAATCTAATATACAATCTTCTATATAATTCACCACTAAAGAGTAGGAAAGTCATGATCTCAGAATAAGACTTCTAAGATGTAACACTTTAAATACATAAATAATTTACTATGTCACCATTAACTTTTTCATTTAGCTTCATAAAAAAAGAAACTGTAACACATTGGCAGCAACTCCTGGGACTTACTGCACCAAAACACTAAGGTGTCCACCATGCAAGAAAAGACACCTTTAAAGTTGTAGTGAATGGAGCATATAGTCTTAATAGTGCTTATATTTGAAAGATGATATAAACAGACAATGACAAAATCAGGTTAAATAGCTTTTGATTAAAATTTCATAGCAGTTTTCTCAAAGAGAAGGATCAGAATTGGTATCTGTATGTTAATAATTGCAAAATTGAGCAAAATAATATGGAGTATACAAACTGTTATATTAAACACACTACTGAAAATCCTAATAGATTTGGTAATTTCTTGAGTGGAAAAGATCTGTTTGTATAATAGAGAAAGGAAAAACCATAACATAGTCATCACTATCAAAATGGCAGTGGCCCAGTTTTTGGAAGCAATGATTTTTCTACTTTGTTAGAAGCAGTATTGTATTTTAAGGATAATAAGTAATAAACTTTGAGTTCTCCTTGATATAAAATTTAAAGAGCTGAAATGTTGGACAAAATTAGTATATTGGCTCCATTTCAATTCTACTGTATAACTGAAAGAATTAACATTATTATAAAAAGTTCAAATTCAAATGTCTTTTAAATTTAAAAAAGTTTTTTATAGAGAAGTAGACTCAATATAAAACTGAACAAACATAACATATATATAAAATATATTTATTTGTTTTACATATAACATATTTATATAAATTTATTTATTTATTTTGAGATGGAGTCTCACTCTTCTGTTGCCTGGGCTGGAGTGCAGTGGTGTGATCTCGGCTCACTGCAACCTCTGCCTACTGGGTTCAAACAATTCTCCTGCCTCAGCCTCCCGAATAGCTAGGACTACAGGTGTGCACCATCACGCCCAGCTAATTTCTTTGTATTTTTAGTAGAGATAGGGTTTAGTCATGTTGACCAGGCTGGTCTTGAACTCTTGACCTCAAGTGATCCACCTGCTTCAGCCTCCCAAAACGCTGAAATTACAGGCATGAGCCACCACACCAACCCAGAAAAAAATGTATTATAAGGAATTGGCTCATGTGACTATGGAGGCCAGCAATTCCAAAGTCTAATGTAGGCAATTTCTGGTCCAGTATTTCAGAAGCTTGGAAGTAGCTATTTCATCCTAACAAGTAAAATGCTGAACAAACTGGAAAAAAGCAACAGCTTTTCTTATAAATATAAGAGACTTGGAGGTCAAAGGAAAAACTGCTGCCCCAAAATTAGAGAGTTCAACAGAGACATACAGAGAATCACAACCTGACAGAGCAGAAACCCACAAGCACAAAATTCCTTGGGAACCAGTGCTGGGGTAGAGAAACCTAAATGTAATTGATGACTGCCTAGACGTTCAGTGCAGACAAAAGAGAAAAACTCAGGGGGTCCGGTGATGCCGTTGAGTACATCTTTTTGAGTTTTACCTCCTGGAGCTCTACCAGTTTCTCACAATGAATATCAAAGAAAATTCTTCATGTGCTTCTAACAGATAGAAGGAAAAAGAAACCAGTTCGAAATATGCCAGAACATTCTGTTCTTTTTTACAAGGTCTGCCCTCAGGAGAAACTAACCAAAGCTTATCCTGCTAGGGTTTTTATCAGAGTCTATCTGACCTGGGGGGAAGGGAAATCTTCAAATCCAGCCCACTCTAGCTGTTCTTTCCCACCCTCCACTTGGGAAACAGAAGAACTGAGAAGCAGCAGCACAGGGTCAATAAGAGACTGAGACCTAAACATAGAACTATAGAATGCTTGCCCTTCCCCAAGACCTTACCACCACATTACTTACTAAAGGACTATTTACAGCACTCCCCTTTTCCCTGTACATCATGTCTAGCATCACACACACACACATACACACGCACACACACACACTCACACACACACACACACACACAATTCCAGGACATGCTAAAAGGCAAAAACCAAAGTTTGAAGACAGTGCAAGCACCAGAACTAGACTCAGATATCATAGGAATGTTGGAATTGTCATGCTGGTAATTCAAACCAAGTATTGTTAATATGTTACTGAATAAAGTAGACAGCATGCAAAAACAGATGGACAATCTAAGCCGAGAGATGGAAATTGTAAGAATGAACAATAAAGAAATGCTAGAGAAAAAAAATCACTAGTAGAAATGAAGAGTGCTTTGATGTGATTATTAGTAGACTGGACAATGCTAAGGAAAGAATCTCTGAGCTTGTGGATATCTCAGCAGAAAGCTCCAACACTGTAAAGCAAAGTCTGTAATGTGGGTCAGCAGGAGGATGAGAAATGCTAATGTCTCAGCTGTGGTCCTTCGTAAGCGTCTCTTGGAGAATTCCCTCTGGATTGGGAAGACCTGTCTTTTTGTTCTAGTCAGGGGTTTAACTGACTGGATGAGTTCTACCTATATTATGAAGAGCAATCACTTTATACAAAGTCTACCAATTTAAATGTTAATCTCATCCGAAAACACCCTCCAAGAAGACACATAAAATTAACCATTACAGAAGCTAAAGGTTTCAAGTGCAGGAGAGCAGAAAAAATGTATAATTTATTAAAATAAGAACATAAGAATATAGTGGAATTTATTTTTTGCAATAATATAATTGCATTAAAATAACAATGTTGATTTAGTTACTTTTTTCCAAAAAAATCTTTATTGTATGGCTCATGATTTAGCTTCCAGTTACAATAAAAACTTCATTATCTTTCTACACACACCTCAGTAAGTGAAGTAATGAAAGAGGGTGAAATTTGAATTCACCAACAACTGCTTTTAATGCAACTATGGATTCAGAAAAGCAAATGGCAGTTATTGGCTAAAATAAGATTTGGTGTTATGGTAGATTTTATATTAATCTTACTTTAATAGCCTTAATCATTTAAAAATAACTATTTGACTCTTGTGTTCTCAGGAGATTAAAAGTAGAGAAAACTTCTCTACATGTTCATAAACTAAATTATACAATAATATAAAACAACATCTTTACAATGTATTTCAAGAAATGGGAGTTTAAAATGAGAAACCAAATTATGAAATGTCTGGGTAAAGATAAGTGAAGAAACGATGTTTCACCTAAGATCAGAGAAAGATTTCACAGCAAGCTGGATGTCCACAGCCTTCACAGTACTCTTCAACCTTGGATCCTTGCCATGTTATAAATAATGGCAAATCGGAAAAAGAGCGACCTTTTCTACTCTTTACCGGTGCAGCTCTATATTTCCCTTCTTAATAACAGCTCTGGTAACATTCCTGTAAAACAAATCAGAACAAAAACTTCTTATGGTAACTATATTTGAAGGGCCTTGAAGACAAAAAACAACTTATTCTTGGAGAATTTTTTCATGTTTTTATAAAATTTCTCATTGTACAAATCAGGTGGGTGTAAAGAGCCCTTATAAGTATTTTCTTCTTACTTTCTTAATCCTAACTTAATTACTGTTTCTTGAAAGAAAGATATTATGCCAGAGAATGCGTAACACTTGCTTATGACCCTAAGTGGTGTTTGCAGATGGTCAGAAATAAAAGAATGGCTCCCAATGCCCTTGAAAATGGGAGAAATACAGCTGTGTAAAGCCATCACAGGTTGTTATTTTGTGATGATTATTTGTACTTCCCCCTTTTGGAAAATTAAGTTATAAAAACAAACACCTGTTTCAATAATTCACAGTGCATCATTAATTCAAATGACTTCAAGGGAAAAGCTATGTTCATTCTTATAAACTGAATTTCCTAATGATAACAATTCACTCAGTAACAAAACTAAAAAATCGTTATTAAAATATAATTCTCAGGTCGCATAGCCTGATAATAGTCAATAGCATTACAATGAAAATGATTATTCAACTGTCTTGAATATACAAAAAATTTTCTAGTACTTCTAGGTAGGGGTTACAGTTATTAGAGTCTATTCTTTTAAAGAAACTGAGCTACTGTTTACATTTGTAGGGTACCCTAATGTAAAGCCTTCATATTATTGTATTTCATCTAAATTTTCCAAAAAAAATATATACTACTAATCTAAACACAAAAATAAATGACTTTTAAAGAGGCAGGCGAGCTGTCTACAGATCCTATTGAAACATTGGATGGGATTTCACATTAAGTGATCCAACCAAACCTGAAAGTCCACAAAATTATTATTTCTCAGTATTTTCAGAAAACGTTCTAGAATTCTACAGCATCATGTCAAATTTCATTATTTGTATACCGTTTATACCTTGAAAATCACAATAGGTAACAAACATATAAAATAGAAGCATGTTTTAACTGAAGATTTTCACTCAAGAACAGGTAAGTTAATAAAAAATATAATTGTAATTGAAACTTAAAAGGTGATGCTTAATCATTATTTTTGTTTATTTAAAGTGTATAGTGTTCATTCTCTTCTCTAATTTTAAAAGTGGTACCAAAGACTTTTTATGTATGAGTTTCTCTACCTGCATAAGTTGGAGTTTTGAGTGGTTAATTTTGCATAAGTCATACTCAGAAATTTCATATTTTATTCTAAAAAACTGAGAATGAACATAAATTTATGGCAAACAATCTGAGCCTATAATCCTTTTAGGCTGCCACCCTTTTACAGTCATCTCATCCACTCATAGCCACCAAGAGGCTTTAGTAATTTCCCTTTATTGTTTTTCAAGGTCTTCATAGACAAAATTATTATTTTATATGGTAATTTGTTTATAAAATAGTTAACAAATGTATGTGAATGTAAAAACAAGAGCAACTGGCATTAACAGGAGAAAACCCAAGCAACTAACCTTAAACATTTTGTTCAGCTGGGAGGAAGTGATTGCAGAAATGTTGAGACATTCTGGAGGAATCTTCCACCACCAGTATCCACCTCCATATAAAAATCTGTTAACATGTTGGCAGAAGCATTAGAAAATGGCTGAAATTTGATAAAGAGACTTTCTAATGCATCTTGATCACTAACTGTTTTTTCAATGTAGACATTTTGATATTGGGGAATCCAAATAAAGCAAATGAATTATGATCACTTGCTCTTCTTTGGAGCAATGCCTACCAGAACATATTTCAGTAATTCAGAAACATATTGATTATGTCATTATGCAATATGTTTTTTTCTGGTGTGAATAAGTTAATGGGTCATTAACAATCTGTCATTGATGCATTCTTATTCATTCAACCAAATTCAGCTCCATTGTATCTTTCCTGACCCACTCAGGCAGAGATCAATGAACCTTCCATTTGCTCTAATTGCACCTCATATATGATACCCTTTAGCAGAGGTAAATCTGTTGAAATGTCCACCTCCAAAATCAGAGGTGGGCAGCTCATTTGAATCTTCTGTGGCTGATAAGGGAGGAGGAGCACCATCATTGATAGAGTATATTACCATAAAAAATTAAAATATAGTAATCTTCCATGTTGCTCTGTATGGTAACTTTTGTTCAATTAGTTTCATGGCTTCCCTAGAGCTTCCAATCAAATGTGGCATAAACTAATAGTGTAAGCTCATATGTTCAAAATATAAGACTACACTAAATTCTAATTAAATCAGGTTAAATTATAAAAAGATATAATTTATATATATAAATTATGTGTATATGTATATATGTGTATATGTATGTGTATATATAAGTTTTGAGGCAGAGTCTCACTCTGTTGCCCAGGTTGGAGTGCAGTTGAAAAATCTCAGCTCACTGTAACCTCTGCCTCCCGGGTTCAAGCAATACTCCTGCCTCAGCCTCCCAAGCAGCTGGGATTACAGGCACCCACCACTTTTGTATTTTTAGTAGAGAAGGGATTTCTCCATGTTGGCCAGGCCGGTCTTGAACTCCTGACCTCAAATGATCCACTTGCCTCGGCCTCCCAACATGGTGGGATTATAGGTGTGAGCCACCGTGCCTGGCCAATATTTTATAATTATAAAGAATGGTATGAGAAAAATTGTGTTCTTAGGTCAAAATTATCCAGTAAAATATTCTGATTTCAAGTCAATATAAAAATTTGAAATATATTTGAAAAGTTATTTTCTTTTTCAATTTCTGATGTAAGAATAGTATGAAATAAATAAATGGCAGCATACATAGCAATGGATTTTTAACATAAGAAACAATTTCAAATATGGTGATAATGGCTCTCCTCAAATCTGAAGAACTGATTTGGAAAAAGTGCTTTTCTTCGTATTAGTGGGACCAAAGTTGTAGAAGTTGGTGGAGACGTTGGGTAAAGTTTTAATAGTGTCAGATAGAGATAGTTTTGAGAAACAATTTCAGAGCTTCCAGGAAGCTTTCTCTAGAGCAGTGGTACCCTCAGCCAAGATTAATTTGGCACCTTCAGGTGACTTTTAGCAATGTCTGCAGATAATTTGATTGTCACAATGGGAAGAGATCATGCTTTTAGTATCTAAGTGGATAGAAGGTAGGGAGGTTGCTAAACGTCCTATAACGCACAAGATAGCAAGATACCGCAACTTATAAAATAATAATGAGAACAAAGTGTCAGTAGAGCCCAGATTGAGAAACTCTGTCACAGAGGTGATGAGGATGAAAATAATGATTACCATTATTATTGATTTTACCTCAAAAGACCATGTTATGAATTTTTCCTATTACTATGGTTATAATGTCAAAAATGAATTAGATTTTAAAATTTATTATTCAAATATGAATTCAAATTTATTTACTATTATTCCATAAGAAAATATTTTTTATACTCAGATTCTAATAACATTTTTTGAGTGAGAAGCAAATGAGTGAAATTGTAAACAACCTATCAGGAATTGGACATAGTAAAAATGTACTCTTCAGTCCTGTGAACACTACTTGACATGCAGAAAACAATTTGTCTTATATCCCTTGTTACTTGTTATTTTCTATGAATTATGTTAAAAATGTGTAAGAGTTTCTATTCTTCTGCAATCAGACTTCTGAAAGATGGCTGGATTCAGAAGTCACGTAACTCTACTTTTATACACCATTTCTTGACATAACTTGTCTTCAACATATACCTACTGTGATATTTCTTCTCTCCTTTAACCCTGTTCATGTTACATCTGCCAGTGTGCATCTGTTTAATACTCCCAGGCATCATGTTAACAAACCTGTATACGTGCTTTGTATACAACGCTTATACATTTGAAGATGGTAGAACTTCTTAGGAGATTAAAAAAAATTGATGCTTTAAAGTAACAATTTTATGTTATAATCAGAACTTTTTGTCATTTTTCTT
The DNA here is from genome assembly GCF_000001405.40 of Homo sapiens. NCBI lineage: Eukaryota > Metazoa > Chordata > Mammalia > Primates > Hominidae > Homo > Homo sapiens. The sequence continues at coordinate 84,751,318 of NC_000013.11, read as the reverse complement.
GAATTTTAACATTCCTTGTTAAATCAATATCATCTTTTACAATTGACAGTAAAAGAAACAAGATTGATGATTTTTAGCATTACGGGGGGCACAGTATTTAGGATAAACATATTCGGCAAGAGATTACATTCTATTAAATACCTACTCCATAAAATTATATCCAAATTTTGTGCTTATATATGATTCAACTTAAAAATTCAGTTTATCAGAGGTATTATATGTAGTGTGCTGCAACAAGTCATTTAAAGGTTCAAAATCAATGTTAAAATATTTTAACATTAACCTAATAAGGATGTTATGAATGTTTTTATTGATTATCACATAATTTTGGGTGGATAAACATAGACATGAGATTTGAGTAGGCTAGTGCCTACTAGTCAGACTGGAGTCTGACTTCATAACTGCAGGTCAGCCTTGGCTGAATGCATTCCTAACATACAGGTGAAGATGTTAGGGCATTTGAAAAGCAGTCAGGAAGTGAAGTAACAAGGACTCTGTCTCAGTGGAGGTTACAAATATCCCCAAAAAGGCAGAGACAACTCTTAGAATAATGAGAAGAATCACATCTTTGTCATCATAACATCCAGGATAATTCCTTTTTTTTTTTTTTTTTTTTTTTTTTGAGATGGAGTCTCACTCTGTTGCCAGGCTGGAGTGCAGTGGCATAATCTCAGCTTACTGCAACCTCTGCCTCCCAGGTTCAAGCAATTCTCCTGCCTCAGCCTCCCCAGTAGCTGGGACTACAGGCACACGCCACCACACCCGGCTAATTTTTTGTATTTTAGTAGAGATGGGGTTTCACCACGTTGGCCAGGGTGGTCTCGATCTCCTGACCTCGTGATCTGCCCGCCTCAGCCTCCCAAAATGCTGGGATTACAGGCATGAGCCACAGCGTCTGGCCGATAATTACTTTTTTAATGTTGTTCTTCTTTAACCACCTGATCCTTCAGGTGTACTCTTTATCAAAGATAAGATATTTATAATGACAAGATAAAATATTTCCAAATATATTGAGAAAATTGTTTCTCTATTTTTTTTTTTGTTAACCTAAGAAATGAAGATGTTCTGGCTGTAAATTTCATCAAATGTCTTGCTAATATCACATTCTATCATAAAAGAGGGAAAAAGCCATAATATATTGTTTTTATGTTTATCAAACACTGATATATAGGGACATGAACATTTTGCTCAAATGGGTGAAATATTTGTGAATTTATTTAAAAATATTCATTGTGTATATATATTATGTATTATATAGAGTATGAAATTCAATAATCCCATATTTTAACAGAATATTCACAGGCCTTTACAAAGCTTAACTCTACTAGAGATTACAATCTTTAAGCAAATATTTATGATAAACTGTGCTGAGTATTATAATGAGGAGAATGTCCTAGGCAGAGAAAGCTACATAAGTAGGTACAGGAGGGTAGAGATATTATGATGGGTTGGAGAAAAACTGTGTATCTAAGAAAGCTAACAATAGAGAGATACAAATAGATGCAGGGAGTCAGAAGTATAGCTACATTAGTAAGACAGCTACACTCAATTTTGTATCATATTTACTGTGAAACGCACCCAGAAAAGGTCAAAGACCTTTATAACAATGCTCATATTTAATACATTTTGCTTAATCTTAGTATATGATATACTTTGAAAAATTACCATAGATAAATTTTCAAGTTTAAGAGTTGCAAAACATGTTCCCTACTACTATGATACCTACCATACAATGAAGAGAATAGAGACATAGGGAGTACAATCAACAGTTAATGTTGGAGCTGGGATTGGAATCTATAAAACAGGGCTCATATTAACACACTGTTCACTACTGTACAATTCAAATCTTCACAGAGTTTCAATTCAAATAATACCTAAATAACTTAGATGTTCTTTATCATCCATCTATGTAATATCCCATATTTCTTTCCCCACCATCATTAAACAGCCTATGCAGAAGTATGTGCTTTGTCACAGACACCAGTTAAACTTGAAGGTTCGGAGATGCATGGCAGAATTCCATCCTTTTAACAGCTTACAAAAGAGCCAAAGCACAGATAAGTTACCAGTCAAGCAAAAGTGGAGATATTAGGAGAATGGCAAAAAAGATGATAAAGGAGCATCATTTACTCTGTTGATTATCAGGAGATGCTTTCCTAAGAAATTCATGTCTGCCATGAAACTTGAAGAACAAATAGCAGAAAATCAGTAAAATAAGGTTGAAAACACATTTTAGACAAGGGAAAGGTCACATGTCAATGTTGGGAATTATGAGAATACATGATAAATGTAGAGTAGATATAGAGAAATAAATTATTTGTAATAATTTTCAGGAGATATTAAAAATTACACAATTTTGGAATTGATTGGATTGTTAAAAATTGAGAAAATAAAAAAGCCTAAGATTTTCCCCTAGTCTTGGTAAATTAGAAAATAAATGGAATCATTCATTAGAACTGTATTAGTCAGGGTTCTCCAGATAAACAGAACCAACAGGTGTGTGCATCAATATGGAGAGGGAGAGACAAAAAGAGAAGACAATGACTTCAAGAAATCTGATTCACAGGACTGTGGGGGTTTGGTAAGTCCAAAATCTGATCGGGGAGGCTGGCCAACTGGAGATTCAGAAAAGAGTTGTAGTTCAAGTCCAAAGACAGTCTGATGGAGAATCAGGAAAAGCTAGTGTTGCAGAGAAAGTGAAAAATTCCTTCTTGTTTAGGGAAGGTCAGTCTTTTGCTCTATTCAAAAATTTAAATGATTGAATGAGGGTCACCCATATTATTGAAGAAAATCAGCTTTACTCAAAGTCTACCAACTTAAACATAAATCTCATATAAAAGCACTGTTACAGAAATATGCAGAATAATGTTTGACCAAATATTTGGGTTCTATGGCCTAGCCAAGTTGACAAATAAAACTAACCATCAAAGGAGGGGAATACTAAAGAAATTGTAGCCATAGGTCTTTTTTTTCTTCTCTAGTGAGAGCCATCTAATAGCTAATTGATATGTCTTTTTAAAAAGAAAATTTATCATTCTAACTTTCATTACTTTAAGCACTACATTTACCAAATATTAGTAAAGAAAAAAAAAGTCAAAGTACATTCTTGACCAAATCTGAGCAGTTGATATTCTAGATATTGAGAGGAACATTAAATATTTTGTCACACTAACAATATTAGGCATTTAAGGGAAAGAAAGAATTTAATCTATATATTTTACTTTTATTAGGAATATCCTGTATTTTTTTTGACACCCAGAAATCCAAAGCTCTCCAATCTATGACAAAAATGTTAAGAAAAATCCGCAGCCTTAAGTTTAGTAAATAGTCTAGAACACTGAAAATCAATTCCTAATTCTTCTAATATTTTCGAAAATGCCATTTTGTTTTCAATTAACAGTCCTTCCAGTTACTTCATAGCCCATACATAATTTTCTTCTGAGTAGAGAAAATCACAAAAATTCCAAGTCAACTTTCCTTACTGGTGGAGAGATCCACATGACATATAAAATACTTGTAAAAATTCTTTTAGTTGCTCTTTTTACAAAATCTATCCCTGAAATCTATTGCTTATCAAGCAGTCTATTTGATAAAGTTGTAATAGATAAGTTATTCTTTTTATCTTTTTTTTTTTTTTTTGAGACGGAGTCTCGCTCTGTCGCCCAGGCTGGAGTGCAGTGTCGCGATCTCCGCTCACTGCAAGCTCCGCCTTCCCAGGTTCACGCCATTCTCCTGCCTCAGCCTCTGGAGTAGCTGGGACTACAGGTGCCCACCACACCAAGTCCGGCTACTTTTTTTTGTATTTTTAGTAGAGACGGGGTTTCACCGTGTTAGCCATGGTGGTCTCGATCTCCTGACCTCATGATCCGCCCGCCTCGGCCTCCCAAAGTGTTGGGATTACAGGCGTGAGCCACCGTGCCCGGCCTTTTTTTACTTTTAAAGTTTCTTGCCCTATTATGCTCTACAAATAAGGAGAACATATGCATTAAATGATTCAAGTCTTCAGGTCTTATTTTAGGTGAAAAGTGTTGGCAACTGACAGTACAATTAATCCAGGAAAACTAGGATTAAAAAACAACAACAAACAGCAGCAATAAACAAAACAGCAGCAATAAACATTACTGTAAGTATAATCCAAATTAGTTTATTGCAAGACTTATTTTAATTCAGGTAAGCAACAGCTCTCTGCTATCTTGTGAGACTTATTATATTCCCTGAAAAATTATAGATATTAATATTATAAAGGCTACCTCTATATTAATGTAATTTTCAACATCTTTTGTCGTGTTGTTTAAATAATGAACACTATGTAAATATTTAGTCAATAAATATTTAAAGACTATTAACAGTTCTTTTAGTTACTTCGTAGCCCACCAATAATTTCCTTCTTTGATGAGTAGTAGAAATCACAAAATTTCCAAGTTAACTTTTCTAATTGGTGGAGAGATTCACATGACAGGTGAAAGATTTTTACAGAGTATTTACAGACTTTTAGTGAGTTATTAAAATTTTTCTCTTGATTAGATCTAAACCCGCTTTTCTTTCCACTTTCACTGTAGAACTGGAACACTTCAAAGTACATTTCTTTGTGACCAGTTGATTTTTCTATTAGGTTTGGTTTTGACAATAGTGGGTATTACAGGGAGGCTGCCAGGTGAAAGATGGATGAAGGGAATTGCTCCTTTTGTTTTTAATGCTGTTCTTAGTCACTTTGCAAGCAGCCATTGGTTCTGGTTTCCAGCTTGTTCTCAAATCCCCAGAATGAGCTTCATGGCACCCTCTCTGAATACCAACACAAGCGGGCAAAATCTTCCTGAAGAGCCCAGGCTGCAGATCTGCGGCTCCTCTTCCAAGCTTCCAGCTTGTGCCAAGTGCAGCCAGTCCTCTTTATTTCCCCAACAGCATGGGTACAGCTGCTCCCCGTAGTTAGTATTTCTACCATTTTGATTTTTACTTTTACTTTTTTGTAGTCTTTCAATGTCTACTTAATCAATTTCTTCTAATATATCTCCCTCTTAAAATAATTAATATGGTGTTATCTCTCCTTGCCTGGACTTAGATTAATCAAGATCTACTCCAGTGTAGCTCTAGAGCCCTTCTGAGAATCAGTATGTCCAGTGTTAGAAACAGATGGGAGCATGAGAGGTGACTTCTGTAAAATTTTTGTAATTACAGATGCCTGAAAAACAAACACATATAGTAAATATATAGATCTTATATAAGTTGAATTATGCATATCTGGAACTTTTTTCTCACTTAGCACATAACTTTTTTTAACTTACCACCTTTTTGATAAACAATTCAACAGATTAAAAAAAACAAGAACAGAAAATGGGTGTTCTACAATCAGAGAGAGCTAAATTTCTTTATGCTCATGAGGTGCTTTTTATACTTTTATTTTCTGAATTCTTGTTTTATCTCATAATTGCATTTTTTAGGATTCTCACTTACTGGATGTGAGAAACTTAAGGATAATGATTTATCTTTGTATCTTTATGCCTAGCATAACACATATACAATTTAGGGGCTCAAAACATGTTGAGAAACATAAATTAAATTTAGTTTAGCACATTATAAGTTGTTAAATGGTGTAAAAAACATAAACTGCTGTTATTTAACTGTTAGCAGAAATTTACATGTGACTAGAAAGTTGAATCAATTTATATTAAGTATAAAGTAATACACATAAGACATTTTTATATGAAGACTAAATTATTTTCTGCCTGGTAAAAGTGTCTTTTATTGTTTCCCAGAAAAATTATTTTTGGGAGATACAGTTTGTTATGTATTCTTCATTTTTATCATCCATAACATGATCTGACTGATGGACCAAAAGTAATTATCTTATAGATCAATTAAGATTTATGTACTTAATGTACTGTACAACAATATATCCAATGTTATAGTGATTATTTATGTAACTTTCATATTGGAAAAAAAATCATAGCCATTAAAATGCCATTCAGTTTCTTATATGTAAGCATACAACTTTCAGTGCATTTCTCGTTTATTTCCTTCCTTCCTTCCTTCCTTCCTTCCTTCCTTCCTCCTTCCTTCCTTCTCTCTCCCTCTCTCTGTTGTCTTTCCAAGACGATAACCTCCGTTCATACGTTTTAAAACAGGTAGAAATTTTTTGTCTCTCTTACAGTTAAAATGTTGGCCCCCCCACCTTTGCTGCTGCTTATGTCATTAGTGGATGATAAATCTATAATATTTTCATTTTTCATTTTTATTACTCAAAAATGCGATGTTTGCAACTGATACAACTAACCATATATATCATATACACCGCAAAACTGCATGGAACAATATGCGCTGCAAAATTAAACTAGACAGAATAAATTGTTTTCACAGCATCTATATTGGTAGAAACTTAATTACTTTTGCTAAAAGCCTCCATGTTTTTTTCTACCATTTTTTGTTCTTCTTGTCTTGGGAAAAACATTTACCAATTTCTTAATTCTTCAAAAGTTCTCTTTCATTATTAAGTCCCCTTGTCCCACTAAGAAATGTGTTTCAGCCTTGTTACATTTAAGCAAAAAAAAAAAAAAAAAAAAAAAAAAGTGTATCTCTAAGAATTGCAAACCTTGCAAATAAAAAATCAGACACTACTTCAATTATGGTCCAATACCTTAGGAACATTCCACATTTTTTGTCATATGCTTTAAATCAGCTACCTGGATTTCAACGTTTAGGGCTCAAAACTTGGAATGGGGCATTAAGCATTTCTGTAACAGCTCTCCCAGAGCACAAATCCTGGTGCTGATTCTGTTCTCCAGTGTGACTAACAGTATGTTATGCCACATGTTGAAAATAATATGTCTTTACTAAACTGATGATAAAATCACCATAACATTATAAGTATTGCACCCAGGATATTCTGTCCCCTACTGAAACAGACATTACTTGTTCAAGCATTTCTGTCATAAGCAAGTAGATTATATTTCCTTGTTACTAGATTTGTGGTTAGAGGCATGATCTAGACAGCAGGGAACATGAGTTTTGAGTTATGTTAGTATTTTTCTTTACTGTTATTCAAGTCCCTTATTAAATAACTAGGGATCATATTTATCTTTCTTTCTGGCGTTAAATGCACTTACAAATTCTAGGTATGAATTTCAATCCTGAATGTTAAATGATGAAATTAAGCCTGACACACAATTCTTAAGCATTTATTTTGCAAAGCATAAATGTATTTGAAAAACAGTCTCTTCTCTTAAATTATATTTTATATTTGTTGGTTTTGGGTGATGTTGAATTAAATAGCTGACTGATATGGATAATAATATCATGTCAGAGTAGATAATAATCATAATTTTTAAAGTGAAATTAGTATACATTTTCTGCATTTTCATTATATTTGGAACAAACATTCTATTTTACATTAAGTTGTTTTTAATTTAAAACCTCTTTTGGCTTTCATGTGTCTCCCTCTTTCCCAAAATTTAGATTTTTAAAAAAATGATAGACTCCTAGTATGATCTGATGAGCTACCCCCTACATACTTCTTCGAATTTATCCTCTACATTGTTTTACTTTATCGATTTCTTTTTCCTGTGACTGCCCAAACCCTTTTAAAATGCCAATTGTATTCTTGCCTAGATTGCTTTACACATATTGCTCCCTCTCTGAAAACAATTCTTCTCCTTGCTTTCTTATTCCTAAATTATTTTCATTTGTAAGCTATATACTCTAAAGCTTCCCATTTTCAGCCTTTCACAAATGATCTGATACGAAATGCCACTATTTACTCCATTCAACTGCCATCCAATTTTCCTGTTTTATTCTCTCATAATTCCACTATATTAAATGCATTTCTTTCTTTCTTTCTCTTTCTTTCTTTGTTTCTTTGTTTCTTTGTTTGTTTCTTTCTTTCTCTCTTTCTTTCTTTCTCTTTCCCTCCCTTCTTTCTTTCCTTCCTTCCTTCTCTCTCCCTGTTTCCCTCTCTCCCTCTCTCTCTTTCTCTCTCTCTCTCTCAGTTGACTCTTTCTGATTCACTCTATCTAATCCCATTCATTTATATTTGTATCATTTTGCTTATTTTTTTGTTTCCCTCTATCTCAGGGAATACTTTCGTAAAAACAGAAACCATAGTAGGTGTTTTCACAGGGAATTTAATACAGAAAATTACCTTGAAAAGTGTTGGGAAGGCAAAAAGGCAACCCTGAAGCAACAAAGGCATTGTGACTGTAGGCATCAGCTCTTAACTCACATAGCTGAGGGGAAAAATGGAAAATATAGGGATTACCAGAACCTGAGAAATGATGAGCCTTGCAAAGGTAGGCTCAAACTTCTGAGAAGACACTGACTGGATAGTGGTAGAACTTTTGGTTCATGGAACTGAGCCTCAGACTGCTAAGCATGGGATGCTGTCTGAGCAATGCTAAAGGAACGGGAGAGTAAAGCATACACTGCAACATGTAGCCCTTTTTTGAATGACTCTAATATTAACATTAATGGGAAAAAAAAGTAGCAAAGCAAAACAAACAACAAAAAATGAGAAAGCCCAGTCTTCATTATTCCTCATTCATAATCAATCTCTGGTAACCCCTTCTGTCAAGACTTTCTGTTTAAAATACAGTAGATAAAAGATAAATATTGTATGTGGATCCTCAGTCCCAGCACCACAGAGCAGAGAATAGAATGGTGAATTGAGACGAGGAAGACAATAGGTTGATTATCAGCGTACACCTTTCCTTTGGTTAGCCTGTATCTATTCAAACACTTGCCATAGTGAATTACAATATAATAACAATTGTAATGTTTTCCTTTTGCTTACAAAAATTCAACTATTTTCATTACTCTCTCTTCAAAACAGAACACCAGGTACTCTATTTTTTCTAACTCTAAGCAAATATGAGGATATCTATTTCTGAATTATTATAATTAGTCCACTAGTTGTGTTATGATCACCATATGAATCTGAAGGTTATGTGTAAAGTTAACCACTGATGAACAATTTCTCTTTTGTACAATAATGAAAACAAGAGGCAGGAAACAGAAATTGAATAATATATCCACTTGTGTGCATGTGTTTGTGTATAAAAAATAAAGAAGAGATTATGCATATCTGTTACAATATTTTTTCCTCCAATAATGAGTCTATAGTTGATATTTTAACTTCTCTGTTCAATTACCAATTACTTTTTCTCAGCAGATTGTGTTTTTACCTCAGGAGTTTACTCAAAATTATTTCTAAAAGCTGTAATATTTGAGTAATATGACCTTTAAGAGTTGTTTCCGTTAACATTTGCTATTAGACATGAAGTACTAAGTGACTAGTACTTAATCACTGTGGATTTTAAGCATACTCCTCCCTGTCACCAATGTATGCCAGCAACACACCTATCTCGTAAGTATCATAATAAATCACGTCAGAACATAACCAATTTATTCTTTGTCAGTTCAGTGGAGTGAGGGGATTGAAATGGCCAGGTGATGACCTCAACCTCCAATTCAATCATTTTTCTGTGCCCTAATAGAAAAAAGCAGAACCTAACATTTTTGGTATAGAAGTGAAAAATATTTCTAGATGGATTATTAGGTGCAATAGTATAATAGGCAGAATTCTACATGTATTTACTACTCCCACTACAATTTCCATCCCCTGGTTATTCAACAAACATTAATCTAGTTACTTCTTTGAAGGGAGTTTGACATTGAAGGTAAGGCTATTCATAACCTGCCTTCAGGTTAAGGGTATTATCCTAGATGATCTAGGTGGGTACTGTGTAATCACATGAGCTCTTAAAAGCAGAAAATTAAGGCAGGGAGAGTCAATAGACTGTGAGACTGAGGCTGCAGAGGAAGTAGCAGAGGAAAGAGGAAGCAGAGTGGATGTAAAATGAGATTTAAAGAAGAAGAACACAATTCACCACTGGTGTTTGTGAAGATGAAGTCACAAGGCCATGAGGCAAGATCTGTTGAAAGCCTGTAGAAGATGGGAAGAACATCTGGCTGACAGCCAGCAAGGAGATGGGTAAAAGTCCTACAGTCTCACAGAACTGAATTCAGACAACAATCTGGACTAGCTTAGAGGGGGATTATTCTTCAAAGACTGCAGAAAAAAAAAATTGGCAACTTGCTGAAACTTTAATTTCTGCTTTGGTAGACTCTAAGCAAAGAAATTAACCAAGCCCACCAAAGTTCTGACCTACAGAACTGTGAGACAAGATATATGTGCTGTTTTAAGTGAACGATTAAGTTTGTGATAACTTGTTAGGGCAATAATTGAAAACTAATGAAAGAGTAATTTAATCCTCCTCATTTCACTCTTGATTACATGATCTATGTTTTCTGACAATGAAAAAACATAAATAACCCTCATGTTGAAAGTTAACCTAAAGCATACATCACCTCTTTCAAGACAGAACATCATACTTTTAGTGTATTGTTCCTCAACTAGCACTATAACTGAGTCTTCAGTCAGTCATTTCTTCTTTCTATCAGAGAAGCTGCTTGGCATGATAAAGAATTCTATGGCATATGCCTATTTCCACACTTATTTGCTACAGAATAAATCCCTTATACAGAAATCACAAGTACATATATAGTGGTGTTAACAAAAGCATTATGTGCAGGAATGTCAATTCATAAATAGAGTATCTTTCTAAACTAGTGAGGACAAATCATCACTCTTCCCCAAAGATGAAATCCCATGAAATCCTCCCTGGCCAAGGTGTGATATTAGGACTTCAACATTGTTCTAGATGATGGAAAACTAGACACTCAGTAATTAAGACAGCAAAGTGAGTTGTGTGATGTTCCACATTGCTTAGCCTGTGTAGAGCCTTCATCTCTTCTTTTGTGGCTAATCATAAATAAGCCCATTGCTCAAGCAAAAAGGTGGCTGGAGAGTTCACAACCAGCCTGGGCAACACGATGAAGCCTCGTCTCTACTAAAATACAAAAAATTAGCTGGGTGTGGCAGTGAGCACCTGTAGTCCCAGCTACTCGGGAGGCTATGGCAGGAGAATTGCTTGAACCTGGGAGGCAGAGGTTGCAGCGAGCTGAGATCACACCACTACACTCCAGCCTGGGCGACAGAGGAGACTCTGTCTCAAAACAAACAAACAAACAAAAGCAAGGTGGCTGGAGAAAGAGGCTAACTGATGTTCAAAGGGCAGGTCATGTTGTCCAGATGATTATTGAAAGTTTTCTCTGAAACAGATATTCCTCTGAACTCATTTTTTCCATTTTTTCAATTCTGTAATACAGTTATTTTCCAAGTTTCTGATTATACGGCCAAATCATTAGCCACTGCCTCAAATTAATACAGATCTATCTATCTATCTATCTATCTATCTATCTATCTATCTATCTGTCTATCATCATCTATTTATTTCTCAAAACAGACTAAGAAATCCAAAATGGATTGCTTGATGTGTGGCCCACTGGGATAATTTTCATTCACACTTGTCTTTCAAGGACATACTTCTGATTGAGCATCTAATGCTGCAGTAGTCCCTTGTAAGTCGGATTTATCATATTGACAAAAGACCTAAGATATTTCTTCTTCTATCAATTTGTTATAAGGTACTGTGCAAAAAAGGTCATAGGAAAAGGAATGGCAATGCATCAAGAGATGGTATCAAAGGAATCTGAGCCACCTGCTCATTCAATTTACTTGTATTTTATTTACCTGCCTGAGCTTGATCTCTTATGCATCATCTGCAGTGATGATTTATGGCTTCTGGGCATGCCCTGCCTTATAATTTGGTTGGTAAAAAAAACACTCAACTCAAATAGTTTGGTCAAGCCACATGATCTCTTGATGTCTTATAATCAAATTTTTAAATTTATATAGGGCCCAATAGCAAGTCAGAAAGTGTTTCTCATAAGGAAATAAAAAAGTATATTATCCGTGAAAAAGGGAAAGCTGTTTCTTCAAAACACAAGGAGTCTCCTGTGTCTTATTAGACTTCAGCAGATTTGTCACATACCTTTTATATATCAATGTAACTGCTGTAAGGAAGTTTATATGGCAACATAGCTTTTATTGCACAATGGACTCCTAAAGAGCTTTCCCTTGCTCTTGGCCTCAACATTGAGAGTCTTATTTGTTACATAAAACATGTGTAATATATCGTTTTTGAGGTGTATGACGCAATGTGTATAAATCCATTTTAGGCACTGGAATGATTATCTTTATATTGTACAAAAAAAATTTAATGAGGTGACAAGGCCCTTAAGCTCTGTGAGGTTTGACTCTAATCTCTGGTTTACATTTTCCTTACTGTGATTTTGTTTTTTTGGTCATTGATTCTTCCTGTGTATTATATTCAGCAAACCAGCCATCATTAATGTAGTGAAACAGTGTAAATCGTTCTGTGGGATGTTGTCAATACTGATACTATTCCTACAGGATAGATTGTTGATATAGAATTGATATAGCCTTGAAATACCATATGAAATTTAAAAATGTATCCTGTTGTGCCTGCTAAGCAAGAGAGTATGACTTCTCTTGAACCTTATATGTTGAGAAAAATAAATAATGTATTTGATCAATAGTTGTGTAGATTTTTTCTAGTAAACACAACTCTGAAAAACAGCTAAAATTCACTTTCATTTTCTCAGATCCATCTGCCTCTTCACAGGCCAAACAGGTGAGTTAAATGGAGATGTTATATAGTAATCACCAACACTGAATTTTCAAGTATATGATAGTGACAGTAGTTTCGGCAATTTTTTAAGAAATATGACATTACCTCCAATGTCAAATATATTTACTGATTTGTCCTAACTACTCATTAGGGAAATTATGCCACCTTGCCTCTTGACATTGAGTGTTGCCATTCAACATCATCATTGTGAGATGCTATCTCTAATGCCATTGCAATCATTAAGTTTGTCTTAAGGACACCATCTTCCTCCATCATATCCAGCCTTCAGAAAACAATTACCACAGAGATTTTCCGTATTCTAGCAATCTGCTCACAAATGTATTACTTAGCGCTGTGATGGGCTCATATGGTGAATGAGTGGGTGACATAACATAACTTATGATAAATGCACTACAAAATATCTAATTCTCTGAGCCCAAATTTATTGGATGTAGGACACCAACATGTCCAAGTTTCAGGCAAACAATCAAGTCAACTCTTAAGAGCCAATCCATCTGTACAAGCTAGCATCATAAATTCATATGTGGTAAGTGTACTTATATAAAGGTGGCATATTCTAGAGTTTTATTCCATCCCCTTGGTCTATTCCCATTCAGATTCATTCCTAAACACATTCATATGTGTCTTAGGTTATATAGTAAACTAATCTGGAAATCATTTGGTAGGTTAACCTGAGTCAGGTAATGTATTTATCTTCCTAGTACATACATTCAGTTATTTGACTAGAGGATATCATGAAAGAACAGGTCAGTTTTAGCAAGAATAAGCACTAAGCATACGTTTGCTAATTGGCCACCCATGGTGAGGTAAACAAGGGTCTTCAAGGAAGGCAAGACTTGTTTCCTTAGATACTGTGTGACAGAGGTCTCCTTAGACATAGCAGACTTCCTTCTGCTAGCAAAGATAACTCACAGAGATATGGGAATTCAGTATTCTCAACCTTATCTGATTCTGTCTCTTTTCCTAAAATCTTAGGGTCCTACTGCCTCTAAATCAATGTCATAACCTTCATGTAGGAGACTTGGTGAGTTGAGGAACTCAGTATTTGTTGTCCTTCTGCAACCTATATAATTACACTTGTGTTTGACTTACAGTGGTCCTTGTCCTATAGCTAGAAGAAATAAGAGATTGTTAAGAGATTATTTTAAGTCTGCCATAGAAGCTCTGTTTCTCTGACTGTTTGGGCTGAGAATGTGAGAATGTAAAGCTGTAAGCTTGTAATTTTTTCCTGTAAGCCTTTTAGTGCATTTGCAATCAGATATTTCACCCCATAGATCCTGCAGTCATCATTAAAAATTTAACAGTTATATACAACAGCTAGTCCCCCTGCCTCCAAAGACATTTGCTTTTTAGTAAGCATTGTTTCACAATCAATGACAGGTTTTAATTTAATGCATTTTATATTCAAGGCATCCTATGATCAAAGAGATTATTATAGTTTTCAGGACAAAGCATAATCAAAATTTCATAATACCATTTTTGAGATTTTTTTAATAACTTCTGGGATCATTAAGTAGTGTATCTAATGCCAAGTAGAGACAAATCAGGGGAAGTGAAACTACATTAGGTATTTCAATAGAGATAATTGGAAAGAGGATATTGAATAGGTGGTAGACGTCTGGAAGAACAAATGAAAACATTTAAGTAAAATACAGGTATTATATGATCTATAGTTGTATACTATCATCCTGAGTTCATACCTTGAGGAGGGCATGCTTTCTGGTTTTGCTGGTACATCAAAAGCTAAGAAGGGGTCCTGGCTGGGCACAGTGGCTCACGCCTGTAATCCCAGCACTTTGGGAGGCTGAGGTTGGCAGATCCCTTGAGCCCAGGAGTTCAAGATCAGCCTGGGCAACATGGTGAAACCCATTTCTACAAAAAATACAAAATGTAGCCGGGTATGGTGGCGAACACCTTGTGGTCCCAGCTACTCAGGAGGCTGAGGTGGGAGGATAGCTCTAGCCTGGGAGGCAAAGGTTGGAGTGAGCCATGATTGTGCCACTGCACTCCAACCTGGGTGACAGAGTGATACCCCCATATCAAAAAAAAAAAAAAAAAAAAAAAAAAGAAGGAGGAGCTCTGAGCTTAGAACTGGGCTCTGAGCAGGGTCTAAGGTCTGGATGGTAATGATAGTTCTGAGAAAGTATAACAAAGTTGGTTTTGAGTGCTAAAAGATGCTGGAAAATAGAACCAAATGCTGCTTGCAGGGTGAAGAGTCAATAATACAGTGGCACTCAATGGAATAATAATCAAAGAAGAAAGAAAAATTACCTGTGTTCCCTCTTAGCTTCCTATAGTGCACTCACTTGAATGAAAATATCAGAAGTAGCTGAAAAAGAAAAAAAAGAGTGATTTGAAGAATCTTAGCCCAAGCATAAAAAAGGAAAATCTAAAGGTAAAATTTTGGAGTGACAAGAGCTTAATTCCTGACACATTCTGGACTAGAACATATGTTGTATGATAACAAAGCTATGTTCCTAGAACCTTGGGACTCTCAACGGAAAGGCCTCGTTACTTATTGTTGAGTGTGTGAATTCAACACCACTTTACAGGCAGGATGATAATATCAACCATCATGCAACAATGTAGATCCTTTTGTTGGAAAATGATGGAATGTAACAAGTAATATTAAAATAGTAACAACAAAATCTGTACTACGTTAGCATGTAGCATTTAAATACAACATTTAAAATGGACTGTGGCAGTCACTCATGAGCCATGTTGATATTTCTTGCAGAACTCATGTCTCACTATAGGTTGTAAATAAGAAGAATTAGCAAGTGAAAGGCTCAATTATTAGTAGAACTTGATGCTATATTCTGTGAAATCTTTGTGTCACAAACAGGTAGAACTTGGAATGTTTCAAGTGATCATATGGTTTGGAAAATGATGATGATCTCTGTCTTCCTTAACTCTTCATATTTGCTCCCTTCACTTACAATGTTCTTACTTTTTAAAAAGCTGGTAGAGTTTCAAGATGGCTGACTAGTGCCGCTAGGAAGTGCTGCTCCCACCGAAACACACTGAGATTTAGATTAAACCAACATAATTTGAACATAACTTCGGAGAGAAAATGCCAAATGTGGGCATGGAAAAGACTCACATGCTGAAGCTGAAGCGGGATGAAGCTGAGAACTCTGCATGGGATAATTGAACACTAGAGCTGGTTCCAGGGCCCAAAGGGTGCCTGGAAAAGGGGCTACGGTAAAGAAAACAGCGTGGTACTGGTACAAAAACAGATACATAGGCCAATTAACAGAATAAAAAAGCTCAAAAATAAAGCCATCTGATTTTTGACAAGGCCAACAAAAAAGCAATGGGGAAGGGACTCTCTTTTCAATAAATGATGCTGGGATAGCTGGCTAGCCATATGCAGAAGATTAAACCTGGACCCTACCTTTCAGCATAAACAAAAAATAATCCAAAGCCACGAAAGATTTAAATGGAAGATCTCAAACTATAAAAATTGTAGAGGACAACCTAAGAATTATTCTTTTTGACATCAATGCATTAGTCTGTTTTCACACTACTATAAAGAAACTACCTGAGACTGGATAATTTATAAAGGAAAGAGGTTTAATTGACTCACAGTTCTGCATAGCTTGGGAGGCCTCAGGAAATTTGCAATCATGGCAAAAGGTGAAGAGGAAGCAGGCACCTTTTTCAGAAGGCTGCAGGAGAGAGAATACTCAGGAAAAACTGCCACTTTTAAAACCATCAGATCTCCTGAGATCTCCCTCACTATCAGGAGAACAGCATGGGGGAATTCACCCCCCTGATCCAATCACGCCCCACCAGGTCCCTCCCTCAACATATGGGGATTACAATTTGAGATGAGATTTGGGTAGAGACACTGAGTCAAACCACATGAATTAGCCTTGGCAAAGAAATTTTGGCTAAGTCTCCAAAAGCATTTGCAATCAAAACTAAAGTAGAAAAGTGGAATGTAATTAAACTAAAGAACTTCTGCTCAGGAAAAGAAGCTATGAACAGAGTAAACAGAAAACCTACAGGATGGGAGAAGATATTCACAAACTCTGCATCCAGTACATGTCTAATATCCAGAATCTATAAGAAACTGAAACCACTTGACAAGTAAAATCAAATAACCCCATTAAAAAATGGGTAAATGACATGAACAGACACTTCTCAGAAAAAGACATACAAGTGGCCAACAAACATATGAAAATATTTTCAGCATCAATAATCATCAGAGAGACGCAACTCAAAACCACAATGAGATACTATCTCACACCATTCAGAGTGGCTAATATTAAAAAGTCAAAAAATCATCACATCCTGGCAAAGCTGTGGAGAAAGGAGAACTGTTATACTCTGTTGTTGGTAATGTAAGTTAACCACTGTGGAAATCAGTCTGGAGATTTCTCAAGGAACTTAAAACAGCTATCATTCAAGCCAACAATCTCATTACTGAATGTATACCCAAAAGAAAATAAATCATTCTACCAAAAAGACACATGCACTTTTATGTTCATTGCTGCACTATTCACAATATCAAAGACTTGGAATCAACCCAGATCCTTATCAGTGGTAGATTAGATAAAGAAAATGTTATATATACATGTTATATATATATATATGTATATACACATATATACATGTTATATATATATATGTATATACACATATATACACACATACACACACACACGCCATGGAATACTATGCAGCCATAGAAAATAATGAAATCATGTTTTTTGCAGCAACATGGGTGCAGTTGGAGACCATAATCCTAAGCGAACTAACACGGGAGCAGAAAAGCAAATACTACATCTCTCACTTATAAGTGAGAGCTAAATTTTGAGCACATTTGGGCATAAACATGATAATAATAGACACAGTGGTCTACTAGAGGTGGGAGGGAGGGGGTGTAGGTTGAAAAAGTTCCTATTGGGTACTATGTTCACTACCTGAGTAACAAGATCCATACCCCAAACCTCAGCACAAGGCAATATTCCCATGGAAAAAAACTGCACGTGTACCCCCTATATCTAAACTGAAAGTTGAAATTTAGAAAAAGCTGACTGTCTTACTCCTAGTTTTCTTTCAGTATTTGCTTCAGGATCTTTTTCTCCACGAATATTTCCCTGATCCTTTGGTGCGTTTGTGTTAATTCTTCTAAACTTTCAAAAATCCTGGACTGACTTCTACCAAATCACAAATAAATTACATATACAGTTTTATTTGTCTGCATCCCCCACAAAACTTTAAACTTTATGTGGGTAAGAATTGCATCTTTGATTTCTGTTTCCTACTCACTTAGGAATACAACTTGGAACATATAAGTCTCAGTGTCTGTGATGAGTATATAAAGGAATACTTAGGTAGTTATATTGAATCATGTAGGTTATAGAAAAAATAGCAAGTAATATATCTAAATGTTAAGTTTAGAAAATGATGTTTAGCAAGATATTTCTGTTGTTACCATGTAGATGGAGGCATTTTATGAATAATTTTTCCTCATGCATTTGTTCATGCAAGATTTGTTTTCTCTCTCTCTTTCCTGCATGTGGATTTTCTAAGCCAATTATAAGTGCCACTACTTTTGTTGAGCTATCACTATGGCCAGTTGGAAAGAGCTGATGCTTTCCTGCATCCCTTTATTATTTTATTTGTGTTTGTGTTATATCATAGTTTCTATCATGATTGTTTTATAGCTTACCAGAGGATAGCATAGTGGTTCAGAGGCAGTTGAGCATGAATGATTAGATACTACCACTCCGAAGTCAAACTAACCACTTTGAACCTTACCAAAGTCAGAGATTATCTAAGGTACTTGGACAACTTACTTGACCTCTCAATTTGTCAGATTCTTTGAAAATAATGGCAGCTACTTATTTGGGTTGTTGTAATGATTAAAGGCAGTAATGTTTACAAAACACTTCATATCATTAACAAACACATAGCAATCTCTGACAAATATGTTAAAGACTGTCACATACTTATTCTCATCTCTAAATAGTGAACTCTTTGAATACATAAATATTGCCTTTTTATTATGCAATAAATAATGCAAATTCTATCAAAGTTTCTTTTTTTTGCCATTTGGTCTCTGAAACAGCTTTTACTTATAAAGTAGTAGTAATTTTATTTTTTATGTTTTTCTAACATTGTTTCTTTTTTGCTTTCATAATATCTAGAATTTTAAAAATAAAAACTCGACAACACTACTTTTTCTTTTTTAAACTGGGCACACTAAGCCTTCTTAGTTAAAATTGTGTTGTCTTATTATAGCTATGTCTACATAATGCCTTTGTGTCTAAGCTCTTGAGTGTTGTACACTGGCATTTCAATAATTTATAAGGAAACAAAATAACATGTCATTAACTTTCAGAGAATGTTCGTTCACCAGAACAGTTCTGAAAGCTTTGAACACTTGGGTTATTCACTAAAGCTTTGACAATCAGTGCACCCAAATCCATTCATTCTTCATCTTTGTATTTGCTGTTACTGAGAAGAAAGGTCCAAATAGGGAACTAGAGTACTCTAAAGAATAATGCAACGAAGGATTACGTTCCAAGAGGCTGGGGACAAGTCTCTGGCTCTGCCATTAATTACCTGTCTGAACAAAGGAAAAGGAATTAAATTCTCTTGATCATAAAAGCTTCAGCTGCTAAATGAGGAGAACTTGGCTTAGCTGTCTTCGTATTTTTTGAACAAAAGAAATAATGTAGAATGGATATCAGTATTTTTTGTAAAGTTAGTAAGCATTATTTGGATGCCTATAGAAATATAAATGTATTCAACACAAAATGTACTTTTTGTCATATCAGATACCAGTTGTATTTTTTCATTGTTGTTATTGTTAGAAGGATTAATGAGAGTCATGGGAGGCAAAGATAAGTGTAATAATTACTACACCAATTACTTCTAAGATCTTTTATATTTTATTATAAAGATCTAAGTGCCTTCATTTTAAACACTCATTCATTCAATGCATCCATTTACTTGTTCATTCAATGTATAATTAATGAAAATGTCTACATTATTATTAGGGCTAAAAAAATGCATACAGGATGGCTCCCAAATTTGAGATGCTTTGGAAAGAGCACTAGTTAAGACTCAACATAGTGCACAGAAAGAGAAAAAGATGTCCCTGAATACCTTCTGTGGAGAAAAGTTACAATGTAGCATCAGATGTAATACTTTATATCTCAACACTCTCAGTAGCTCTCTAAAGCAAGGATTAGGGCTATTTATCCCATAAGAATTTCTGAGATTCAGAAAAAGTGAATAATTTTTATATGTTATATTCAAGAAGATGTTGGATTTAAAGTTTCTGCCAGGTAATTCTGATCTCAAAATTCATCTCTTGAATAATCCATATGTCTCTGTAGCAAGGAAAACTTACTAAGATACCTACAACACGTTACTGGTACCTCCATGAAGCCTAAAACAACTAATAAAAGGAAGTTTTTGTTCTCTAAACTTCAGTTTATGACATCTATGTTATTTCTTTAGTTTTCCTAGGAATTAATAGCAAGTTTTCCAATGAGGTTTTATGTTTCGTGGGCAATAAAATGAGTGCTTTTTAATCTTGATTTATAGGAATCAATTAAATATGCCCTTTAAAATTGCAAAAT
Source organism: Homo sapiens (assembly GCF_000001405.40). Lineage (NCBI taxonomy): Eukaryota > Metazoa > Chordata > Mammalia > Primates > Hominidae > Homo > Homo sapiens. Next base: position 84,731,091 of record NC_000013.11, on the reverse strand, counting down.
TCTAAAGATATTATTATTTCTACATCATTTTATAGACAACCATAGGAGTAATACTACTTCATTTTTAAAATTTGTTTACCGATATTAAAAGCAAATTCATTATCTAAAATTAGTTCAGTTCTAATTTTAATCCCAATTGTCCACTTTAAATCCTCAAATCCCTGGGGTGATATAGGTATGTAACATTTAGGTTTTAAGCCATTTTTCATTGTCTGATTAAAGAAATAAAGCACTATGCAATTGTTTTCTTTCATTTTATGCACACTTCAAAATCCTATTTATTTTATTCATTGTAGAAAATGGAAATTTACCAAACAATGTGGAATAGACAAATCTTTTAGCAGCAAAATAATGTCTCTAGGACTTTCTGTAAAGTGAGAACAAAGTGCTTCATAGCCCTATTTGACGCTGGTTAATAAGACACAAATGTAATAGGCTTCACTGCATTTAACTTCAGAAAAAGTGCCAATATCTTCAAATGTGAACCTTGGATTATTGCCTCTGCAATTTGTTTAGGCAGCCAATGCACTACAAATCATTTCCAGCCTACAAATTGCTTTGTTAGTGGGAAACGGACTACAATAAAGCTGGATTTCCTAATGCTTTATTGACTCTTGATCCAGTAGATGTTGAGAATTCTTTTGTCTTCTTTCAATGACTTTCTCAAATATTCTAAGTGTTTTCAAAATTATAGCCTCTTTAAGTGCTGTGAATTTTTTTGAAGACCATTGTAATTTTTTTTGGAGTTTTTGCTTTCTCAAAAGGGTTTACTTTTTTTTTCCAAATTGCCTGTTTGTACAGATTTTGGAAGTACTTTAAAAATAACTATTTCTCTAAATGTAGGTTAGGCTTTAGTGACAATACATCAATGTTCCTAAATGTCATGATTATATTGTTATATTCTGATGGAAGTAAAATATCACAAATGAGTTCTCATAATTAATTTAAAATGTGTCATTTTAATATGTTTTCTTCAGCTGCATTTTGCATTATTTTGTAAATATTAAATAGTCTGATGAGTATGACCAGCATGTAATATGTTACTCAATGACACCAAAATAATTAATATCTCCATCATTCTTGGATGTCATAAAATCTTCTAATTAAATATGTTTTAATAATTCCTGTATATTAAGTAAAAAATATACAGGAATCAGTGAACATCAGTGCTACTACAGAAGTATAGGTCAAATATGTTTACATCTTTTCACCAAATGTCAAACTATAAAAAGGTTTAAAGTCATTTATTTTATAAGAATTTTTATTTGGAATATATAAATCACTGTTTATAACAATTTTTATTTTACATGTGAAAATATTAAAATTAGCATTACTGCCACTGAATATCTTTTGTGTTAAAATTATGATTGCACTTTAAAAACAAACATCTATAATGCACAAATATTACAATATGATTATATCACATTGCTTTAGTATCTCAAAATGCTATCCCTGCAGACAAACTAATATATTGGGTTTGCTTGTTTTCTAGTACCTGTAGTACTTGAATACGATCAGCATCCAGCTTTGTCAACAACTTAGAAGCAGAATCCAGGTAAGCTGTAGGGCTAAGCTATAGGGAATAACATATCCAAACTCCAGGAGTATTTTGAATTGGGATATAAAAGGTAAATCCAGCAATCAAGGAGAAAGGCTGATGTGAAGTTGAATGAGTAAGAAGGGACTGGGAGCCAGCTAGACAAAAATGTTCTTCATAGGTCGCATGCTAAGTCCTTTTGATAAATGCTGCTAAACCATGCATATGTTCATGTGCCTGAGTTAGCTGTTCTTTGTCCTGTGCATTGTGAGGTAAATCCTAAAAGATGGAGATATAATTGATAAAACATCAAAATCTTTGTTGTCAAATAAATTATGCATAGAAGTTCAGATCTGACGAGTTAGCTATAGACCACATCTTCCTAAAATAGCCTAGCAGAGTGGAACCTGATCAGTACTATAGTTGTCTAAAGGAGATTTGAAGGTTTCAAGTTTTTATTTCTAGGACATATAGCAGAAGTTTAAAAAGGAATCCTATTCCTAATTTGATAATTCCAAAGCATCAATGAGAATTACCTTTGAAGCCAAATGCTGCTGGCAGTACATTAAAGACCTTCATATCAATATATCCACCTTATATTTACATTAACCCAGAGGACTCTCAAATAAATATAAATGTCTTAAATTTATATATAAGCTAAAATTAAAGACTTAGGTGAATTTTGAACATTTGAAGACAATAAGAGATTTATCTAAATTTGTTGTTGTTGTTGTTGTTGTTGTTGTTGTTGTTGTTGAGATGGAGTCCCCTCTGTTGCCCGAGCTGGAGTGCAGTGGCGTGATCTTGGTTCACTGCAACCTCCACCTACCTGGTTCAAGCAATTCTCCTGCCTCAGCTGAGTAGCTGGGATTACAGGTGTGCACCACCACACCCAGCTAATTTTTGTATTTTCAGTAGAGATGGGGTTTCGAACTCCTGACCTCAAGTGATGCACTTGCCTGGGCCTCCCAAAGTGCTGGGCCACCATGCTTGGCCAGTCTATTTAAAAATGTATTTTTTGTATGTCTCAAAAGAGGAAAATGTCTTTCTTCTGAGAAATGGCCTATAATGAAAATATTACTTCCCTTGGTCATTTTTATTCATACATGTGCATCTATGTATGTATTCTAATGATTAATGAATGGATAATGATTAATTAATGGATATTAACAAATGGACATTAAATATCAATAATATATATCAACTAACAAATATTAATATTCAGTAAATACAACAGAAAATCAGAGACTACCTAATGTTAGTATGAGCAGTATTTTCTCATTTGTTGTCATTGCAAAGGTAAAGATTATAGACATTTGACAATACATATCTAGTGAAATAAAGATGATGTCAGGAGAATTCATCTCCTAGACAACATTCAAAGTGGCTTTCATTGTCAGGAATTCACCAATTTTTTTTTTTTTAATTTATTTTTATTTATTATTATTATTATACTTTAAGTTTTAGGGTACATGTGCACAATGTGCAGGTTAGTTACATATGTATACATGTGACATGCTGGTGCGCTGCACCCACTGACTCGTCATCTAGCATTAGGTATATCTCCCAGTGCTATACCTCCCCGCTCCCCCAACCCCACAACAGTCCCCAGAGTGTGATGTTCCCCTTCCTGTGTCCATGTGTTCTCATTGTTCAATTCCCACCTATGAGTGAGAATATGCACTGTTTGGTTTTCTGTTCCTGCGATAGTTTACTGAGAATGATGATTTCCAATTTCATCCATGTCCCTACAAAGGACATGAACTCATCCTTTTTTATGGCTGCATAGTATTCCATGGTGTATATGTGCCACCTTTTCTTAATCCAGTCTATCATTGTTGGACATTTGGGTTGCTTCCAAGTCTTTGCTATTGTGAATAATGCCGCAATAAACATATGTGTGCATGTGTCTTTATAGCAGCATGATTTATAGTCCTTTGGGTATATACCCAGTAATGGGATGGCTGGGTCAAATGGTATTTCTAGTTCTAGATCCCTGAGGAATCGGCACACTGACTTCCACAATGGTTGAACTAGTTTACAGTCCCACCAACAGTGTAAAAGTGTTCCTATTTCTCCACATCCTCTCCAGAACGTTTTGTTTCCTGACTTTTTAATGATTGCCATTCTAACTGGTGTGAGATGGTATCTCATTGTAGTTTTGATTTGCATTTCTCTGATGGCCAGTGATGGGGAACGTTTTTTCATGTGTTTTTTGGCTGCATAAATGTCTTCTTTTGAGAAGTGTCTGTTCATGTCCTTCACCCACTTTTTGATGAGGTTGTTTGTTTTTTTCTTGTAAATTTGTTTGAGTTCATTGTAGATTCTGGATATTAGCCCTTTGTCAGATGAGTAGGTTGCGAAAATTTTCTCCCATTTTGTAGGTTGCCTGTTCACTCTGATGGTAGTTTCTTTTGCTGTGCAGAAGCTCTTTAGTTTAATTGGATCCCTTTTGTCAATTTTGGCTTTTGTTGCCATTGCTTTTGGTGTTTTAGACATGAAGTCCTTGCCCACGCCTATGTCCTGAATGGTAATGCCTAGGTTTTCTTCTAGGGTTTTTATGGTTTTAGGTCTAATGTTTAAGTCTCTAATCCATCTTGAATTGATTTTTGTATAAGGTGTAAGGAAGGGATCCAGTTTCAGCTTTCTACATATGGCTAGCCAGTTTTCCCAGCACCATTTATTAAATAGGGAATCCTTTCCCCATTGCTTGTTTTTCTCAGGTTTGTCAAAGATCAGATAGTTGTAGATATGTGGCGTTATTTCTGAGGGCTCTGTTCTGTTCCATTGATCTATATCTCTGTTTTGGTACCAGTACCATGCTGTTTTGGTTACTGTAGCCTTGTAGTATAGTTTGAAGTCAGGTAGTGAGATGCCTCCAGCTTTGTTCTTTTGGCTTAGGATTGACTCGGCGATGCGGGCTCTTTTTTGGTTCCATATGAACTTTAACGTAGTTTTTTCCAATTCTGTGAAGAAAGTCATTGGTAGCTTGATGGGGATGGCATTGAATCTGTAAATTACCTTGGGCAGTATGGCCATTTTCACGATATTAATTCTTCCTACCCATGAGCATGGAATGTTCTTCCATTTGTTTGTATCCTCTTTTATTTCCTTGAGCAGTGGTTTGTAGTTCTCCTTGAAGAGGTCCTTCACATCCCTTGTAAGTTGGATTCCTAGGTATTTTATTCTCTTTGTAGCAGTTGTGAATGGGAGTTCACTCATGATTTGGCTCTCTGTTTGTCTGTTGTTGGTGTATAAGAATGCTTCTGATTTTTGTACATTGATTTTGTATCCTGAGACTTTGCTGAAGTTGCTTATCAGCTTAAGGAGATTTTGGGCTGAGACAATGGGGTTTTGTAGATATACAATCATGTCATCTGCAAACAGGGACAATTTGACTTCCTCTTTTCCTAATTGAATACCATTTATTTCCTTCTCCTGCCTAATTGCCCTGGCCAGAACTTCCAACACTATGTTGAATAGGAGGGGTGAGAGAGGGCATCCCTATCTTGTGCCCGTTTTCAAAGGGAATGCTTCCAGTTTTTGCCCATTCAACATGATATTGGCTGTGGGTTTGTCATAGATAGCTCTTATTATTTTGAGATACGTCCCATCAATACCTAATTTATAGAGAGTTTTTAGCATGAAGGGTTGTTGAATTTTGTCAAAGGCCTTTTCTGCATCTATTGAGATAATCATGTGGTTTTTGTCTTTGGTTCTGTTTATATGCTGGATTACATTTATTGATTTGCATATATTGAACCAGCCTTGCATCCCAGGGATGAAGCCCACTTGATCATGGTGGATAAGCTTTTTGATGTGCTGCTGGATTCGGTTTGCCAGTATTTTATTGAGGATTTTTGCATCAATGTTCATCAAGGATATTGGTCTAAAATTATCTTTTTTGGTTGTGTCTCTGCCCGGCTTTGGTATCAGGATGATGCTGGCCTCATAAAATGAGTTAGGGAGGATTCCCTCTTTTTCTATTGATTGGAATAGTTTCAGAAGGAATGGTACCAGTTCCTCCTTGTACCTCTGGTAGAAACGAATTCACCAATTTTTAAAGTCTAGCCCTAAGGTTGGAGGCTTAAAGACTTTAATTTCCTGATTTATTGAGAATAGTTGTATCATTTATAACTTGTGCTTGACATCCCATCATATAAACTAGATTTATATTTATTCTACATTCTATAAATTAGAATTCAAATTTAAATATTTACAATGAACAATGTGATAACTATGGGGTACAGAAAAATCTTACCTAAGTTATTCACCCCTTGGAATCAGATTTCATTAGAAACCTCTTTGTGTGGATCAGCTATAAGAACTTATCTTAATAGAGATGCACTTAATACTAGAAATAGTGAAATCATCTGCCATTTTACCTCCCTGAGTGGAGACGGACACATACCATAATATGCAGTATTTATCTTATGTATTTTGCACTTAAGTATCCTTCAACATCTTCCTCTCCTATTAGCACGTTCTTCATTAAATAACATGCATTCATTTACTAAGACTGATTCTTGTCAGGGAGGCAGTCTGTGTTCTTTCAGTGATTTGGCACATATTGTGGTGATTTTCAAAATCCTCAGTCTTCTTTAGAAGGAAAATCTTATTTCTAAATTCTATAGAAATAAATAAAATTCTATAAGAATAAAGCTACTTTCTGTTTTTTAAGAAAAAAATAAGTATTTTATCATCTATTTGCTTGACTCATGTTTTCAAAGAGCAAACTTGTAATCTGTGAACATTTAGAAAGTATATCAAATCCATCCTAGATATTTGTATCTTATACTCTGCGTCCACATATCAAAATGTGTGCACTTGTTTCCCTCCCTTTATTGAAAATGCAGAACTTTTCCGATAAATTAAGGATCCTGAGATGAAGAGATGATCCTGGATTATCCAGGTGCACCCAATGTAATCCCAAGTGTCCAGATAAGAAAGAAGCAGAAAAGTCAGAGTCAGAGAAGGAGATGTGACCATGGAAGCGGGGTCCTGCTTATGTGACTGAAGATTGAGAATGGGCCAGGAGCCAAGGAATACAGGTAGCCTCTAGAAGCCAGAAAACACAAGGGAACAGACTTTCTAGTGCACCCTCTCAAGGGAACACAGCCCCAGATTTTATTCCAGCGAAAACCATTGAAAACTTTTGTCCTCCAGAACCATAAGATAAATTTGAAAGATAATATAAATTTGCATTATATTAAGCCACTGTTTGTTAATTTTTCATAGCAATAGGTAACTAATACTGATAGTTGATGAGAATAAGTTTTTAGAAATGCAATTTCTATACAGAACAGGAAAATAAATAAAAAGCATTATCTTAAGCAATAATAACTACATTATATCAAAAATATACATTTACTTACTCAATGCTGAATAACTATATGTTGACTAATGTTTAATCATGATGACCTATTATTTTTGAATTCCATCTCTCTAAATTTAGTTTTTGACCTTACATGAGTTATTTACCACCTGTGTACTTGAGATTCCTTTTATTATACAATGGACAGAATAGTTATCAAAAGGGGTAGAAAAGTTCTTGCACATTGAAAACAATAAATATATGTTACTCATCAATTTGTTTAACAAAATCATTGCTGGTTATTATTACATTTTTATTATGTAACTTGCAAATAAAAGCTACAATTGTAAAATATGACTTACATAAACAGTGACTAAATTTCATTCACTGTTCAGTCTTCCAAACTGCAAATTTCAAAGTTTTATGAAAAAAAGACTATAATATCTAGTTACTTTGTGGCATCATCATAATCATTTCATTAACATGGGAGCCACATAATTATATCACATTGATAAGAGGAAAAAATAATTCTCCCAAAATCAGAAACAAGACATAAAAAAGTGCAATAAGCATTCTAAACAAGTCACCTTTTGTAGTATTAGTATTGCAGTATGTCAAGTCTGAATTAACAACAAAATCTAAATGCCTATTTAATGGTCTCTGAAAATATTCAATCTGCTTCATCTCCTAGCTTAATAGAAATCAGATATAGGGATGGTGTTAGACTATAAACTGAAAATCCAGAGGCTTAAAATAGACGAATAAATTTCTTTTTAGCACATGCTACCATCAGAGTGGTCAATAATAACTGTTTGTAGGAAATTGCTTAGCCTTTCCTCAACTATAGCATGAAAAGTAATTTCATCTGTAAGTATTGTATTTTATCTGACACTAAGGACCTGTCTTAGTAAGTTTATTAAATTCTTATGTACTGTGGAATTGTACTTCAGGGTAATTTACAAACTATATGTGTGATTGGTGATTAAAATTACCTTCAAAGACAGAGTTCTATATTGATAATAATTTTCTGCCTATTCAAAAAGGAAATGAACAATCAGAAAGGCAATAAGCTATTCTTATGTGTGTTCCTACATAAAGATACTCAGTAGATTTCTTCTCAAGAGAAGTGTGGTCAATTCAATTATACATAGAGAATCTGTTTAGTTAAAGTTTTTATTTTAATTGTTATTATCATGGTGATTATCATTATCACTATTATTTTACTTTGTCTCAACAATAGACAGTATTCTGTCCCTATTTTGGTCTCCTTTTTTTTAACCAAGGACATAATAAATGAAATAAATTTTGGATAGTGAGTTAATTTTATATGAAGTTTTAAAGCAATTAAAAAATTAATTTAGTTATGACAAGATAAATATATAAACTATCAATCATTAAAAGATAGTATTTAAAAGTATGGCAATGACATTGATATCTAAATACAATTTTCTTTAGCTACTTGATTTTAGAGAAGTTATGTGTCATTTTATGTCTTCGTTCCTGGACAATAGAAGATGGTCTGTATGTCTCTGTTGATCTCTTTGTCTCTCTTTGTACGCCTCTATCTCTGTCTTTTTTATCTCTCTCTGTGTGTGTACACATATAATATATACCTATAAATCTAAGCTATATAGTAAGATATACACATACATATACACTTATAGGTCACCATATATTTTATATTATGTACATACATTTTATGTATAAATATATCTATAATATATATACATACGTTCACCGAATAAGTAAATGAATGTTTCAATTTCCTATAACATTATTTATGCCTTGCTAGAGATTGAACTTTCCTATTTTGCTAGCAATTTTTCTAATATTTCTCCATAAAACTAAGACCAACACAATAAAGATGAAGCAAACTTTAAGAATCATATCAAAAATAATAGCTACAAAGAGAAAAACATAAGGGGAGGCAAAGACATTACAGCCCTTCTCCTTCCATGATCTTTTTTTGAAGATGGCCTTCTGAATCATAGCCACGAGTTAATAGTCAAGAGCCCAGCAATGTTTGTAACGGAACAAGAAATGCGGTAAAGGACAGCCTGACTGTTAAAGCTGAGTGAAGAAATAGCCTGGCAGGGTTGGCAGGTAGAGGAGGATTGAGCAAAAATATAAAGACTTGGAAAAAAACAGAAGTAAAGTTTCTCACTGTCAGAGAAGGGAGTTACAAATAAAGAATCAGAGACAAATGGACTATATGGTTCTGGAATAAAGTAGGAGGTATTGGTGTGAAGTAATGGTTTTCAATACATGTAGATAAGTGCAGACAGAAATATACTTGTGTGTGTGTGTGTGTGTGTGTGTGTGTGTGTGTGTGTGTGTGTATGCTATATCTCCTTGGTCTGTCCACTAAGAAAGTCTGGAAGTAGTAACCACCTAGCAACAATAAGAAAATCTAGTGCTGAGATCTTGCATTTCTAAATATTTTTTCTACCATAAGAAATACAGATTCTTTGGAGAAATGGCCAAATAAGAAATAAGATAAGCCTGAAATATTTAGCTGTGTCAGAAAATAATCAAATTGTCAAAGAATGAGAGACACATGCCAAAGGACATGAGAGAAGAAAAAAAAATCCTTCCATGCCTAATAATAAAGGTATAGACATTATGAAATTAGAAAAATCACAGTTTGGTAACCTATCTAGCAACAACTGATATGGAATAGTATCTATGGATGCCCAAAGTAATGGGTGAAAATGTGAAGAACAGAATTTTTATGTAGTCACAGATTATCTCTCCACAAAATACTTTTAATTTGAAAAAAGACAATGAGTAAATTAACAGTGAGGACACCTAGAATATATCACAGAAATTTATTGATCAAAGTGAACATCTTCCATAATAGGGCAAATTGTTATCCTACATCAGCTGATAATGTGGAAGGAGAACACACATCATGTCTGTGATATTCTTGCTACAAGTGCTAAATGGAATGTAATCGTGATGAAATATCAAAGTCAAATAATAGGAGCATTGTCTAAAATGTTTCAGTAGTCCCAAAAAATTAAGTTCATGATAATAATGGAAAGACTAAAATACTATTCTCGGTTGTATGAGTAAAAAGAGTTTATAAATAAATGTAATGTGCAATGTTATATTGGATCCCTTTACTATGAAGGACATGATTGAAACTGGTGAAATTTAAATAGGGTCTGCAGGTCATTATTAGTATTATTTCCAAGTTAATTTCCTAGTTGTAATATTTGATGCCTTTTTTCATAAATAATAGACATTAACTTATTCAGACTAATGGGTCACCGTGTCTGCAAACTACTTTCAACATGAAAATAATATACGTTTAAATAGAGAGATCATAAACAACAGATAGAAAGACGGGGAGGTACACTTAGAAATAGAGATACAGATGTAGACAGATACATATTAAATGGGAGGAGTTCCCTTATTCCCCTCGCGGGGCATGCGACAGGGTTGTGGCTTGCTTCTTTGGTGACCTGCTGCTTAAACCCTTCAGGGTAGCATGCAGATGGGCAGGTCGTGGGGATGATTTTTTTGGGCTCTGACCCCACGGCAGTGTCTAGGGTTGAGTGTTTACAGCTCTCGAAGCCTCAGTGGGCATATTACAGTGTGCTCTTGCAGCTTTACTGTCTGTAGGTAGCTTGTGTTAATCAGCTCAGTTAGACCCTCTGCCTTATTGCAAGGACAGATGGCTTTCTGTATCCCAGGTCCTTGCCCTAGTGTACCAGAAATATTGGATCACACTTGGGCTTAGAGAATGACTGCAAGATTTTATCGAGTGGTGGAAGTAGCTCTCAGGAGGTGGATGGGGAGCCAGGAGGGAGATGGAGTGGAAAGGTGGTCTTCCCCTGGAGTCTGGCCACCCAGTGGCCAGACCCTCCTCCGACTGCCACCAGCCAAATTTCCATCCTTGTCTGCAGCGTTCCAACGTAGATGGCCTGCCAGTGTCTGCTGCTGTCTGTTGATGTGTTCTTCTGCTCCTCTCAACATCCAGCCACTTGTGTGTCCCACTAAGGTCTCTCAGGTTTATATGGGCGCAGGATGGGGGGCAGGGTGGGCCAAAAGGCACCTTTTTGGGCCAGAAAACAGAAATGCCTCTCCTCATTTAGGTCCGTGGGCACAGGCTCAAGGGTGGAGCCCTTGTTGGGGACCCCACCCTTCTCTACCCAGCACTTCCCTGTCCCACTCTCATATCATATATATATGATCTCTCTCATATATATATGAGAGAGAGAGAAAGAGAAAGAAGAGAGAGAGATATATAAATATAGATATAGCCACAAATTATCATCTTTGCCTTTTATTGACCATTCTAAATCCTGGGAATAATGGTATTTTGTTTAGACGTTCAAGGCCGCATGCTTTTGAGGTCAATTCTGTAGGTAGAAAATGAGCATATTGATCCTTTGTTAGTACCTTATGATAAGAGGGTCCTCTCAACTATCACAAATCTCACTTAGAAAGCTGGAAAACATACCTATTAATAAAAGTGGATATTTTATCAAAATGTGATTAATCTGCCTTGCTTCCCTCATCTATCCTGCTAATTTTTCATAAACTCAAAGGTTGTTCAGTTGCACATAGAAAGTGCATGGAGACTATCCTGCATATGAATACCATGATTCCACTTGTGGGTTCAGCCATGTTGTTTATTTACAACAGATCATATAGATCTGCATATTCTCTATCACTGAATTCACAATATAGATCTTTCATATTCTCTGTCACTGAATTAAAGATATTGCAGACTTTATCAACATAATTAGACAAATAAGCCCATAAATAAACACTGCCATATTCATCAAGAAAATCAATTACTAGACTACATAAATCAGAATACAACAGTTAATATCTTAAGTCAATCAGCCAATGAGTGCAAAGTCTATTCATTTACCTTATCAATACGAAAGTTATTTTATACATATAAAAACATAGAAAATGACAAAACCTAAAAGAAATCACCAATGTATAGGGTTAAAATGTAAAAAATAAGGTATGAGTTATTTATAAAGGGCAAAATGTTTTCAGAGGTTAGAAATATCTGAGGCAATCATCCAGTAATATAAAACTGTAATATTCTATTGTTTCTATAAAAGTACTTAGGTTTTAGTGTGTTTCTTTCTAGTTTTAGTATATTTATCTTTGCACATGTATTAACTACTGTATGAAAAAATTATATGTGTCTTATCACACTTAAAGATTTTCTTGTCTGGCTCTCCCAGTCACTTTGGCATAGGAGATAACAAATAAAATTTTAAACTCAGATATTTATAACACATAACCTAGTGAAAAACACCTCTGTATTCTGATTAATAGTGATCTTACATGTCCATAAGAAATGTGATTTTTCTATATCCAAAACAAAGCCAGGAGACAACCAGAATATGTTTAAAGAGTAAGAATTTTAGAGCTGAAAGTAAATTTACAGTAATGCCCTAAACATCACATAAATAGTTAATAGTATAACAAAATCTTTTGGAAAAAAATAATATCTTTATCTTTCAAAAATATGTCAGAATTATTTTCAAAGGTAAATTAAGGGATGTTGTTTATCTGCAGTAACCAAAGTTCTAGACATTATAAAAGAAACCAAGACAGGGAATGGTTATATGTCTGCTTTAGCTAGAAAGAGTAGCTAGCATAATTAGCAGAAATATTTTGTAATGGCTTATATAGAAAAATAGAAAACATTTTGATTGACACTTCAACATTTACCTATTACACATCATCTGGTTGCTCTAAAACAATTATAGTTACCTGGGAATTGTGCACCTAAGACAAAATTTCAACCAATTAAGGAACAGGCAAAGTCTGAAGACGGATTCTGAGAATAGAACATTTTTAGCTCTTACAAGAAATTCACAAGAACTCAAACTCCCAGTTTTGCTGAGTAAGTGTGAAGTGTCATCTTGCCCCAGGTCTTGACGGCAACATGTTGTAAATAAATAAGAAGCCAGGCATCAATGTACACTGTGGCTGGCCAAGCAAAGAGTAAAAGAAGCTGGATTTTTGATGTTTTTAAGCTATAAAATCATCTCCCCTGAAGTCTTTCCTACTTGTGTCTCTCATGAGCAAACTTATAAATAATGCAAAAATAATACCACTACCGTATCACCACTATCAACAATAAAAACCATGTTATTTATTTAAGAAAACCTAGAATATAAATTTACTCACGAGAAGAAAAGTAATTATAAAAAAGCTTTTGAAAAAATTATTTACTAAAATTTACTGTTAGGTAAAAACAGGTATGTTATTACACTAATCAACACTACATCACAAATATTCACTGTCTTGTAATGATTAAGACATGCATGCTGAAATCTTCCTTTTAACAAAAGTTGAAATAATCTTTATTTTTCTAGCAAAAAGTATTCCTACTATCTATATACAGAGAGGGTGGGTCTGCTTTATCAGTTATGCACATAGATTTACTGGTAGCTTTAGTTAGAGTTCGAGATCTATAACAACCTTCTAAATGCATAATGAGGGAAATGAGGACAAGGAGATTATACTCAGTACCTCAGTGCAAGTAGATATTTGAGGATTAAAGTTAGGTCTTCTGGAAAGTTTAGTTTAATACTCTAAAAATGTTGTCACTTTTATCGAAGCAAATGATAGATTTTTCTTACAGTGTTTACACCAGGCCATGCACCTGGACCCTGCGTCATGAGCTAGAAAGGCGCATGAAAGGTAATGTTTCACTAACACATATAGTAAGACATTTTTAAAAAAGAAACCCCTAAAAGGTAATAATATAAATAATATAATAAAATAAGAAATTGCAAGGGACAAAAATAAAATTAATTAGATTTTGCTTGGGGGATGTCAAGTGAATTAGATCATACAGACATTTGAAAGAAATATCACTGGGATAATTAGGTATGGGAGAAAAATAAATTTTAATTTATCCACAATAAGAAACTTTACTTGATTAAAATAGATAATTTCAATGTTTCAGAAACAATGAATTGGGAAGCATTATAAATACATTTTGCTAACTTGTTTTCATTATTTGTGTATCTCTATTTCTTCATCCATCCATTCTTCTGTTCATCCATCTATCCATTTATTCATCCAGTCTGATTTATGTTTATTTTCTTTTTTTGCTTATAATTCTACTGTTTCTTTTTAAAATTGGGATATTTTATGAGTTACATCTAACTTGGGGGAAATTTCCCCACTTTTTGTAGATTATACAAATTGAAATTATCTGGGAAATAATTTGTAGTAAACTAACAAAACTATTTCACTAATATAGTTCATCTACACACATATGCGTGTGTGAAGTATGTGTGTTTGTTCATATAATTTGTTTATCTTCATGTTCATGTTATTTGTAACCTTGTCTTGATATTTTCCCTTTTTTTCTGAGTTGTTATTTTATAAATGCCAGTTACAACATTGTACATGATTATGTCTAATAAAATAAAATTAAATTAATTCCCAAAACCTTTTTTTCTTTTATTACATTTACAGAATGACATATTTGCAGAGGGATTATGAATACTTAAAAATGAAGCAAATAAATTTATGATTAATTTCTGCAATAGCAAAGGATAAATGTCAGCATAAGAAGAAAGTTTGCTTACATTAATGTCATAATATTAAATTATGAACGTAATTGTATTAATTATAATAAATTATCAGCTCTGAAAACTAAATTGACATCAACCTTAAGAGCTGTACTGCTTTCTTATTAATTAGAATCAGATTGTTAAGGCTTTCTTAGTGAATTTTATTTCATTATATTATATTGAAAGAAATTTTGCTTAGCAAGGGCTGACAAAGCAACTTTCATTATGAATCTTGTTATTTGGTGTCTAAAATTACTTAAATTGTACGTTTTCTGCTTTCTTTATTCTACACAACCTTATGGTTATGCATCTGAAGAATATTTTCACAATCATCGATAAATCTATCATTTAGATTGGCTTGAAGGGTGGATACTGAGTTGGAAAAGTTGTTGAGGTCTTTCACATGTTAGATTAACACTTTGTAAGGATTAGTTTTGGTTATTTTGCTCTTTGGGACTAGATCATTAGCTTCTGGAACTGCACATGGCCATATAGCTTCTCCACATAACCTAGCTCCTGAGTTGCAGCTTTTGCAAATTAAAGGAAACAAAATGATGTATTCCCTTTTTTTAGTCAGTATGACACCTCAAGCATTTTAAACTTCCAGTATTTTTGCCAAAATCACATGGAGTTGTGTGACTTCTGAATTATCAATAATAATAAAAATAACAACCTGGGTCTTATATATACTTTCCTCTGTATCAGGCATAAGCTATTCACGTTTAAGGCTTACTTTTATATTTTGTTAATTTCTCCAAAATTTTTAATTATATTTAAGATTATCGTGGAATTTCTCAATAGTGAAGTTCAAAAATAGTCTTTTTTTTTTATTTTTACTTTTCAAATATTTGCAATATTTCTAGGTATCTTCTGTTATATGTTTTAAATTAAATTTGATTGTGACCCAAGAAAATACTCTTAATTATTTCAACCGTTTAAAGTGCATTAAGAACTGTTTGATGTCTAGATAATGGGAAAGACTCAGGGTGTGAGTCTTTGGCAGTGCGCAGCAAAGGCTCTTAATTTGTTGTTGTTATTGTTTGCTGTTGTGTCTGCAAGTGTCATGTAAGTCAATTTGATTGAACGTTGATCATGACCTCTGTATCATTACTGATTCTGTGTCTATATGTTTTAATTACTAAAGGAAAACTGGTGAAATCATCAACTGTAAATTGTAGTGTATCTTTCTTTTCAATAATATCAGTTTTTCTTTAAATTCTGAAGTCCTGTTATTTGACTAGATAAAAATTGTGAATGTGTAAAAATCAAATAGACCCTGAGTCTTTCCCACTTCTAATATAATAAACTTTCTTTATCTTTTATAACACCCTGTTTAAATTCTACTTAATCTAATATGAATGTAACCAATATGACTTTTGTATGTTTACCATTTGCATAGTATTTCAATTTTCATCCATATGCTTTCAACTTATTTATTTCCTTATATTTAAATTGTATATATTCCAAATAAAATATAGCTTAATCTTTCTATTTTGCTGTTTTCTGACTCTTTCATTTGGAGCTCTTAGTTTATTAACATTTCATATATTTGTTATTATATTGGAATATATGTCTACCTACCAAGTTATATTTTAGATTTCTTTGTTCCTATATATTTTATTCCCTTTGCTACTCTTCTGACTTCCGTTAATTGAATGCTTCTTAGAATCTTAATTTGTTGATTGGTTTTTAGCTATATTTATTTGCATTAGTTTTCTCTAAGGATTACACTATACCCAAGTACATTTTCAGAGTCAATTTGAAGATAACATTGTTCACAACATAAAAAAAGTAGAAAAATTACAAAACTATAGGTCCAATTTCTTCCTCCCTAATCATTTTGTTTTCATATGTATTAAATCTATTTAATAATTTCTACACTGCAAAATTATGTTTTGCATTTAAATGTTTTTATATTATAAAATATATATAATATACGTATATTAGTCTCTTTATTCACATTTTTCTTTAATGTTGCTTTTCCTGTTGATGTTTTTTTTTCCCTGAAGTTATGTGCTTCCATTGGATTTATTTCAAATCATACTGAAAAGCTTCCTTTAGCATTTCCTATAGTACAGGTATGCTGAAGATGAATTATTTTAGTATTCATTTACTTACAAATACAAAAATGTGTTTATTCACTTTGGTCTTGAATAATTTTTTTGCTAAATGTAGAACTGTTGGTTGGCAAGTTTTTGTTTTTTCTAGTCAACAGTTTGAACATATTGTTTTACTGTTGTTCAGTCTCCATATTTTAAGATGATGAGAAGCTGGTCATCTTGATATCTGTTTCCCTATATGTGATGTTATTCTTTTCTGGTTGCTTTGATGATTTTTTTTTATTGTTGGTTTTGGAAGTGTGATAACGAGGTGCCCTCTTTTTTAGTTATGCTTGGCTTTGCTGAGCTTCTTCAATCAGTGAATTCTTGCTTTCATCTCGAGGAAATTTCTGACATTATGTCTTCAGATAGTTTTACTGACACATTTTATCCTCAAACTCTTGGTTTCTAATTGTTTATCTGCTAAACTTTTAAATAAAAGTATTCTATATGAAGCAACTCAGGAATGGAAAGCAAAATATCATATGTTCTCTTAAGTGGGAGCTAAGCTATGAGTACGTAAAGGCATAAGAATGATATAACGGACTTTGGAGACTCAGGGGGAAGGGTAGGAGGAGGTGAGGGATAAAACACTACATATTGAGTACAGTGTACACTGCTCAGGTGACAGGTGCCAAAAATCTCAGAAATCACCCCTTAAGAACTTGTCCATGTAACAAAAACCACCTGTACCCCAAAAACTACTGAAATAAAAAATTACATTCTTTACTAGTCTGACTGGGCTGACATAATTGAAAACACAGACTGCGTGGTTTAAATAACAGAATTTTATTTTCACATGGTTCTGGAGGCTGGAAGTTCAGGGTCAAGGAATCAGAAGAGTTGATTTCCGGTGCAGCACCTTCTTCCTCTCTTGGGCACATACCTCTTCTAATGGTGTACTCACATGGCCTTTCCTCTGTGTGTGCAGCGAAGGAGAGAGAGACAGACAGAGAGAAAGAGATCTGCTAATTCCTCCTCTTCTTGTAAGGACACCAGTCCTAACGGATTAGGTCTCTACCCTTTTGACGTCATTTAACCTTAATTGCTTTCTTAAAGCCCCTATTCCCAATTACAGCTACATTGGGGATCAGGGATTCAATATACAAATTTTGAGAAGAAAAAAATCAGTCCATAATATATTGTCTTGTGTTTTCTTCAGAAGAATTTACTTAGCTTTTCAAAATATTTTTCCTCTCCTTTTTTCAGAAAAAATTATTTCTATTGATCTTATGCTAAATTCACTGAAACTCTGTTCTGTTATCTCCATTCTTATTGCATTCATTCAGCGAAGAATTCTTGCTTTTTTCCTTCCACATATTGTAAGTTTTCAATTCCAAAATTGCAGTTGGATTCTTTGTAAAATTTCTATTACTGTGCTGTAATTTTCTGACTGGGTCATCTAAATTCTGTCTTTATTGATTTTCTTATTTTCTGGATAGTCATATTTTCCTTTGTCTTCAGTTGCTGACTAATTTTAACTTCTATCTTGGACATAATGAGGGATTGGTATTTGATGGAATCTCTGGGTTCTGGCATGTATGTACTTTCTATAAATATTGATTTTGTTGTTAAACAAACACTCAATTCGCCCGAGATGCAGATTTATCTCTGCTGTGTTGACAAAAGCTCACATATCAGTTCATTCCTTTTGGCCTTACCTATGGTGCTGAGGTTGAGGTATACCACAATACTTCAAAATCTAGGGATTGGTCACAAACTCTGGCAAAGTTTACAAACAGATCTGGTTCTTTTCCTTTTGAGTGCTCTTCTATCCAAGAATTTTTTTCCTCTCACTTTCAGTGACTCTGGCAGAGCAAACTCTGTCTTCTGTTTCTTTAAGAGTTTAAGCTTGTGGGTTCTTAGCGTTATTCTGTCTCTGATGAGACAGAATCTCATCTGGGATCAAACTTTAAGAAATACATTTGGAAGTAATACTGCTTAATTCCATCTTTTCTTCCATTTACCAATATCTAAGTGCTTTTGGGGTTTTTTTGTACATTTAGATACCTTTTTGTTTACAGGAATGTATAGGTTTTAACTGTAGAATGAGTGGTCTAATAGGATTTCTTCAGCAATGGCCAGAAGCTCCACTGATCAAGCACTTTTATATAAAAAAAGAAATTAGTGCTGTATTAATATATGTTCAATATTTTTGACACTAAAGAGTGTGCACCTGGTACTCCAAACATATTATATAGTGTAAAAATATCTACAATGTAATCATAATTGAATTAAGGTAGTTACATAATACACAGTTGTAATTTGATTTTATTTAGTTCTACCAAGTACGATTAAAATGCCTGAAAAAATAAACAATAACGATTCACTGTACATTTTCTTATATTTGAAATCATACTAAATATGTTATATTTATACCATTTTGAAACAATTAAAATCTAAATTATCAAAAACAATAGAATGTAAAAAACATCACTAAATGTTAAGGAAGTTATTTAGTTATTTCAGTATTCCAGAGTAGAAAGAGATGGTAATACCCTAAATTAGGATCGTGGGAGTACAAAATATATGAATATTAAAGAGCCAATCAAAAAAAGTCAGAAGAAATAGCCATCAATTGAATGGGACAGTTGGAAAAAAGGTTAAGTGACAAAGATGATGGAAGTTTTGCTCATGATTTGTGCACATACTGAATCCAGAATCTATTCCATGGAAGCCTAAATTGGAATAAGTCTGATAGGGGCTCCCATGGTAGTAAAATGAATGGTGTTCTTTCATTGGTTTAGTAAGGTGTGCTGAAGCAACAATCATGCATAAATTTTACCTGTTAGTTGGAGATTCAATCTGCAGCTTAGATGTGTGATAATTGCATAGAAGTGACATCTGAAGCTACTTAATTGGTTTAAGCTCATTGAGGGGAAAAGTACAAAAAAATGAAGAAACCCATATCTACACATCCATTTATCCTCTAAAAGAACAAAATTAAGCACTCACATATAGGTGAACTATATGAATCTGAACAAGTACATGCACAGCACCTGTGTCTTGCTAGATACAAAGTTAAAAACCTAGATCAATTATAGGCTGCTGTAATATGACATATGAGTAAAGGAAGTTTTTTTTTTTTTTTTTTTTTGAGACACTCACTCTGTCACCCAGGCTGGAGTGCATTGGCACGATCTTGGCTCACTGCAACCTCCACCTCCAGGACTCAAGCAATTCTCCTGCCTCAGCCTCCCGAGTAGCTGGGATTACAGGGGCACACCACCATGCCCAATTAATTTTTGTATCCTCGGTAGAGGCGGGATTTCAACCATGTTGTCCAGGCTGGTCTCAAACTCCTGGCCTTAAGTGATCTGCCTTGGCCTCCCAAAGTGTTGGGATTACAGGTGTGAGCCACAGTGCCTGGCTACAAGATAATATTTCTAAAATTCAAGGATTTTTGCTCATTAAAGTGTTTAAATTGTGAATTATAAAGTGTCCTTATTTTTCCATTTTTCAATGAGGAATAGAAAGTGTCTGGGAATGGGATAGAAAGGAGGACAGTCACAGTAGAGAAAAGTATAAAGAGCTTCAGGTACAATAAGATTTCTTCTCAAGACATCTAGCTACCCCAGAGACAGTCTGGAAACCACAGCGAGCTTCATTTGTGTATATTTATTTATGGTCTATCCAAGGACAAAATTTTCCACACACTTATCTCTGTGTATTGGCTTATCTCTATCTCATCAGGGGTCCTTCAGTGAAACTTAGCTGTTTTCCTGATGGAGTACACAGTCTATTTCCAAGCTATACATCTCACAAATGGTAGGGAGTAAATCAGTCACTTTATGTTTAATTGAAGTACTATATGTGTATTCATAGGTATTGCAAGTGAAATATTTTAGCAGTGCCAAGTACTTCCTGAAAGTGCCATTCAGACATATGGTACAATATGTTTATACCTATTGCAGACCATCTGTTGTCTAGGCTCAACTGAGCATTTATTTTACTTTTAATTTACAAAGAAAATGGAAAATAGAACTGGCCCGTGTACCATAATTTGGCAGAGTTTTAAGCAGGTGCAAATTCAATAAGAAAACATATTCAAAACTACAGAAACCTCACTTATTCTGTCCCCTTGTGGATATATATTTTTTTCCAAATTAATACAAATTTTTTAGCCCTTTATGCTTAGGTCTGTTGCAGTGTGTAATGGGGTCTGGTGGGATGAAACTGATTCAGAAAGCAGAGAACTATATATGCTTTTACTGAAAAAGTAAGTAATGTCTATAATAATATGTGCAGTGCAATTTTATTGGTGTATCAAAAGTGTTATATTTATAGGGAAGGTAACAGTTATGAAGACTTTATTATTTTTAACCAATTTCGCTTTTGCTTTTAATATTTTACATATACATAGAATAAAATATAATGTAAAATTTTCATAGGCACAGTCATCTTATTTAAAATGTGGATATTTATCAGAAACCAAAGCATAGACATACAGCTGAACAAAGAAAATGAGAGAATATATTCACAAAGCAATTAATGCATATATCTCAGTAATACTTTAATTACTAACTTTGATATGAAAGTATTTTTAATGACAGTTATTTGCAGAACTGATCAGATGCTCTTCTAATTACTAAATTTCAGTAACTATCTCAAGTAATATTTTTGGCTGAATTTTGCTATGTTGTAACATTATCTATAGAATCATTATAATACCAAGGTTATTGTTGCTGCCACAAATTATGAGTATTTGACTTGAACTCTCTTGAATCTTAAATTTTCTTCATTATCTGGGTTCATTAGGTAGGAATTGTTGAAGACATTTTCACTGAACAGAGTCCAGCTACATAGTGGGTCAATAGGAGAAACTTACTCTTTTCAAAGAGTTTCTATACCATTCAGTCAATATTAATAAACATCTTACTTTTGAAAGGCACCATGATAAAGATAAGTCAATATCTAAAAATGTAAATTATTTATGAAATATTTTCTCAAAACCTGATGTCTAACCTTCCTATGTATATTTATAGGGTCTCTCAAATAAATAAGTAAATAAATACATAAAGACATATAAATGATATTGCATAATGAAATATAACTACATTATCGAAGAGTAAGTAGAGTAAGTTTGTTTTAGCTCTAAAGTTGGGCACTACCACTGTGATAGAAAAGAGGAGGACTCTAAAAGAAAATCTACTATAAAAGAGAGTTTTGAATGAGTGGTTGGATTTTGGCATGCTGCAATGGGGTAAAACATGTTTGGGATAAGAGACCATGCAGATAAAAACATTAAGAGATTTTGTTTTACATGGTCCACTTTAGTAAAAAAAGAAACACCTTTGCATTGCTTTTAATTCTCAGTACCTCCGAAATTTAAAATGAATCAATAGTTGAGTATATAAGTAAATAATGAGTGACACATTTAAAAATCAAGGTGCCAAATCAAGGACACATTAATATAATCAGTACAGCAAATGGGTTTAATCTCATGGCCCGCTCCTGTCAATTAGTGGTCTCCAAAAGCACAGTCTTGAGAATCATTTCAGGTTTTCTTGTTCAATGAAACTAAGCACAGTGATTGTTTAGTGTTGTTTTCCAAGGTCACTGAGTGCATTTTTCAATTCTACCTTTAATTTACAGCTTCAACTTTTCCCCTAATAATACTGAATATATATTTGGCATTAACAAACTGAGCTTCTTTTCATAATAATTTATTTGCATTCAACCTTAATCAAAATGGGCTCAAAGGAATCACAGAACAGATTAAATCGATTAATTAAACATCCTGACTTTTCAAGAGACTGTTAGTATGTAAGTGGATTCCTCTGCTCTTCTCTAAAGTGGCCATTGGGGAGTAATTCAAGGCTTTAGCTTAATTCTAGGTACGAGAATAAAAAGATAGGGCTGGAACGTTTTTAGTGAAAATGTATCTGAATTGTACTTATTGGGAGATATTGGCTTGATCATTTGCTATTGAATCTCTGTCTCTGTCTCTGAATCGTAGAAAAGACTGTTCCATTTTCTACCCTTTTCTCTATACATTTTACTTATCCTATAATGTGTGTTTGCTCATATTATTTTGTAAAAGTAACACATCTAACAAGAATAATTATTATCCAAATTATTCTGGAACTTGATTATTCAGAACTTTAACTCAGTAATCTTGATCTGGATCCATATAATAGAGATATGTATGAGTCTAGCTGGATGTAAATTCAAAGCTCAAATAAAACAAATTTTAAAAAATAACCAAAATTTCCCCAACTGTTTCCCCAATTGAAAAATGTTGATAATCACAATAACTCCTTTATGAGAGTGTTGTGAGAATTAAATAAGCTTTCAAAATCCTTAGAATGGTACTTGACACATAAGTAGCACTCAATAAAAGTATAATATTATTTTTATTGTTATAACTGGGGCATTACAGTGCAATGGTTAACAGCAGGGACTCTGGGGCCAAACGCAAGGGTTCAAATGCTGCCTCTTACTACATGTGTGACCTTAAGCAAATTTAATTTATAATTAAATTTAGAATAACCCTTATTGTAGAATTAAAAATACATATAAGTAAATACATATATATTTAAACTCAATAGTTTTATATATTATATTTAATTTATAAATCATATCTAAAAGCTACATTTATGGGTATACATGTAGCATGTGTGATTGCATATACAAGTATATACACATACATAGCTTACAAATCTTACAACTATATATTGTATATATATAATATGTATATTATATAATATATAGTATAAAATTATATATTATATATTGTATATAATATATAATTATATGTATTATATATTTATATATTATATATAATACATTATTATATTAATTATATATTCTATGTTAATATATTAATTATATATTCTATGTTAATATATTAATTATATATTCTATGTTAATATATTAATTATATATTCTATGTTAATATATTAATTATATAATATAATATATTAATAATTATAATATAATTAATTGTATTATAATTAATAATTATAAATATATAATTCTAAATATAATTATTTATATATTATCTAATTATTTTATTATATAAATTTATATATTTATATATTTATATATAAATATATATTTATATATTTATATATAAATATATATTTATATATTTATATATAAATATATATTTATATATTTATATATATTTATGTAAATTTATATATTTATAGATATTTATATATATAAATTTATAGATTTATATTTAGATATTTATATAAAAATTTTATATAAAATAAAATTTTATACATTTTATATAAAATTTATTTATGTCAATTTATATAAAATTATATATTTATACATTTATATATTTATATATTTATAAAGTTATAAAATTATATATTATTTAAATATATAATTATAAATACAACTAATTATAAATATATAATTAATAATTAATAATATAATATATTAATTATATATTATAAATATATAATAAATATTACATATAGTATATATAATGAATATTACATATAGTGTATATAATATATAAATATTACATATAGTATATATAATATATAAATATTATATGTAGTATATATAATATATAAATATTATATGTAGTATATATAATATATAAATTTTATATGTAGTATATATAATATATAAATTTTATATGTAGTATATATAATATATAAATTTTATATATAGTATATATAATATATAAATTTTATATGTAGTATATATAATATATAAATTTTATATGTAGTATATATAATATATAAATATTATATATAGTATATAATATATATAAATATTATACATTGTGTATATAATATATAAATATTATACATTGTGTATATGATATATAAATATATATTGTGTATATGATATATAAATATATATTGTGTATATGATATATAAATATTATATATTGTGTATATAATATATAAATATATATTGTGTATATAATATATAAATATATATAGTATTTACAGCATATTGTATAATATATACAATTATATATTATAATACATTATATATTGTACTATAATATATATTATATTATATAACACATAGTATGTATATAATATATAATTGTAAGATTTGTAAGCTATGTATATGTATACACATGTATATGTATATACAAGGCAAGTCTTTGGTCAATGTAATATTTAGCTATCTATAGGTTATAGAAATACGTTTCTGAATATTCAGACTGAAATTGATTTTTTAAAAATCTACATTTCTCATTGCCTATTGATATATTTTTTGCTGCCATTAATGGTTGGCATTAGAACTTTATTTTACACAATACGGGCATCATAAAATTTGAAGATCCCTGTCAAAATTATCTAAAATGTCAGACATTCCCAAGGGCAAGCCTCAAGCTTATATCCTCAGAGACTACTGCTCCTAAGATAAAAGGAATTAAAGAGGTCCTTTTGCCTTTCATACATACTTTAGTCACTTACTTTACCCAGAAGATGATATCTCTCATTGCCACACAGAAGTGCTCCATTATGATTGCTTTTCTCATAGCTGTAATTTATTGGGAATCTTCTATGAAGCAGTTGCTGGGCCAGAGAGTTGAGAATGTTTTTTTTTTCTTTCCATACTCTAACTTGTAATAAAATCCTAGGTTGTGTTCTCATAGGTTTTTTTTTTTTTTTTTTTTTTTTTTTTTTTTTTTTTTGTGAGACGCAGTCTCACTCAGTCACCAGGCTGGAGGGCAGTGTGGCGATCTTGGCTCACGGAAACCTCCACCTCCCGGATTCAAGCGATTCTTCTGCCTCAGCCTCCTGAGTAGCTGGGACTACAGGCGAGCACCACCACGCCCAGCTAATATTTGTATTTTCAGTAGAGACAGGGTTTCACCATGTTGGCCAAGGTGATCTCGATTTCTTGACCTCGTGATCCACCTGCCTCAGCCTCCCAAAGTGCTGGGATTACAGGCATGAGCCACAGCACCCGGCTGTATTATCATAGTTTTTAAGGCTTAATTTTAGGTTATTTAAAAGGAATTCTCTTATGTTGTATCAAGAATAATGTGTGTGTGTGCACCGGTGTGTGTGTGTGTGTATTCTCATTAATAGAGAAAGTCATCTAGGATCAGTACTCACTATTATTTCCCGCTTCAGGAAGTTTTTGGTTTTTCTTCTCTGGAATGTCTACTCTCTTTCAATTGTCTTTTGTTCAGCATAATATTACAAGCACCATCCTTAGATCAGAAACAAGTGTTAAAATATACTATGAATCTGTACATTTTAGACTTTAATTTGTATGATCACTCAAAAGTCTATTACATTTATCTTCAAACATTGTTCCACTGCCTTCTCTCGTCCTTGATTACAAATGTCTACCTTGATTAGAGAAGGCTGCTTTTCTTTCCATTCCAACACGCACGCGCGCGCGCGCGCGCACACCCACACACACACACACACACACACACACACACACACAGAGTTCGGAAATACTTTTTTCCCATTTTTCTCTATATTTGGGAATTTCAGAGGACAAATCTATGTATTTTCATTTAATTTTTATTAAATTTGCTGGAGACTTGGTTAATCCATTCAGCTACCAGTTAAAATCCTTGTGCAAAGTATTACTCAATTATCCTTATCTCTCTTGTGGAATTCCTTTTATTCACACACTGTGTCTCTTATTCACACGCTGTCTCTGAGATCTGCCTTTCTACTGTTTTTGTTTATTTTACTTATTATTTCTATTTATTTCACCTAATTCTTCAGGATTATGTTGTTTGCTTACTTCTTTTGAGAGCCAGTTTCACCTTTTACTCTTTCAGAACAAAAATTAATTCAAAGCAGTGACCTTCTCTTTAAATTACCTAAGTTTTAAATGAAATATTTCTTCAGTTCTACACACTGGTTTGGTATTTGAATTGCATTCCTTTAATGGTCATTATTTTTGAAGAAGTTTTTTTGTTAGTTCCACTTTAACAGAAGCCATCTGCTATGTTTGTTCATAAGAGTCCCCCATCTTCAGTTTAAATAAATTGCAACATTTCCTGCTTTATAATTACCTTAGCATAAGTATGGTAAGATTTTTTTTCCAGATATATTCATCATAAAGTAAAATGCCTACATAGTTTGGAATGAAATTAATTATAAGCATATGAAATCTGCACATATTATTATTCCCCAAATAAATAACAATTATAAAAACATTAATAACCAGATTATAAGCTATAATGTGCCATGATCTGCTTTTTTAAATTCATATCCACTACTTCAACATTCTACCTATGTAATAATACATAAAATCAATAATATTCCTGTCTTTTTATAGGTGACAAATGGACAAAGTTAAATAACTTGAATGAAGTTCCATTGCTAAGTATGCAATAACACTGAAATTAAATTAGTACAATATCACTCCCAATTTCATGTTCTATCTACATATAATATTTTGCTATTTCTTACTGTCTCTGTTGCTGTTGCTATATATGAACATACTATTCCATTTATAATAGGTATAGTTGCAAACATCATTTTTTTTCTAGAACAATGAGAGGAGTCTTCATAAAATGTGTACTCCACATAGTGTTCTTTATATATATAAGTGTGTGTATGTGTGTGTATCTATACACACACACAGTTTTATATAAATATCACTCTCTCCTAAAGTTAACTGGGTAACTCTGAGAAATCTAAAGAATGTTTTCGTATTTCATATTGCAATGTTTTTCTTTTATACAGATATTTCTCTTTTTGCCTTTAGTGACTTTGGGCAAGACCGTTTTTCAAATACATATCACAGGAATTTTGCAAGAATTAAAACAGATTCTTTACACAATGTCTGCCATGTAATGAATGCCCAGTAACTATAGGTTAAAACCAATATTAAATTAAAAGTAAACTATTTTCCAGGAAAATGTTCCTCTAATGTCACTTAACGTTATTCAAACTAATTCTTCCATTAAAACAACAAAGTATACTGGATAAAGTGCCTGTACAAATCTTACCACAACCGTCAAGGAGATGACAAAATAATAAAGAATTATTAGACAAAAGCTTAAGAGTAAGCAACAGTTTGGAGTCTTAAGCAGTACATAGACCTTCAGGGTATGTGCAGACCTTGGAAACATTGAGCCCTTACTTTGGAGGGTCTAAGAGGGCAAGGAAGGTGAAAATAAAAGCGTGAGTCCTGCCAAGGTAATGGATACAAATGGAGACTCTCTCTAAATTCAGGATAGCATCTTTTGGTATGCTTGAATTAGAAATAAACCTACACCAGTCCCAGCATCAGAAACTTACAGATAAAGACTAACTCTATCCTCTTTAGAACCCTAAGGAAACATATTCTTGGAGGGTCGAGAGAATTCAACCATTGAATTTGGTTGATGAAGTGTCTAAATGATAGTACCATAGGCACCTGGCAGAAAGAAATGTAAAATCTTTCTGGAGGAGGTACGTTCATCTCAGCTGTTCAGAAGTCCAAAAATTACTTTTCAAAGATAGCGACTAATATAAAGTCAAAAAGAACCAGTCACACAATTGACAGAGTAACAGAAGAATGAACAAGGTAGGAAAACAAGTACGAAAAAACAGGCAGCAAAAATTCACCCACACAGTTATCATACGTATTGGAATTATCAGACTAATTATGAAACAAAATTTATGATGTTAAAAATAAGGCAGGCTTGAAAATATGTGCGGGAATCAGAAAGTGTTATATGACTAAGATTATTTGAGAAAGATTCAAATAAAATCCGTAGAAGTGAAAACAAAAACAAAATAAAAAACGGTGACCGTTATTAAAACTTACTCGATAAGTTTGGGCCCAAAATTCTTTAAAAACCATAGAAAATTAGGAAGCTGAAAAGTAAGCCAAAATAAATTATCTAGATAGATCCCTCAAAAACTATGGGGTAGTAATAATGAAAACATGGAGGACACAAAGAGGAAGTCTAATGTGCTTTAATGAGAGCCATAGAGGAAGAGAAGGCCCAAGAACAGAGACAATAGGAGAAGAGACAATGACCAAGAATTTTTCAGAAATAATTTTTTGAAATAATATTTTCCAGCCACTTGACCTCTCATAAATCATCAACATCTTATTATTAAAGCCAGCTAACTTTCTCCTTGAGTTTCTGTATCCTCTTTCCATTTGACCTCAGGCATTTCTCCAGATACAGTAGGATATATTTGCAATTGCATGGATTCTACTTACAAGACGAAAGTCTAGGGCAAATCTATCACCCATAAAAACTCTGGCCTGGCCAGGCACGGTGGCTCACGCCTGTAATCCCAGAACTTTGGGAGGCCGAGGCCAGCGGATCACTTGAGGTCAGGAGTTCGAGACCAGCCTGGCAAACGTGGCGAAATCCCGTCTCTAATAAAAGTATAAAATTTAGCCAGGTGCGTGCCTGTAATTCCAACTACTTGGGAAGCTGAGGCACGATAATCCTTTGAACCTGGGAGGCAGAGGTTGCAGTGAGCTGAGATCATGTCACTGCACTCCAGCCTGGGTGACAATGTGAGACTTCATCTCAAAAGACAAAACAAAACAAAACGAAAACCCTGGCCAGTGATTTGAAGTCAAAATGAATACTTTCAAAGACCCAGCTGGTGCAATTCGTTACTTGAGATAAAGTAAATAAGGGGTAAATTTTGAACCATCTTTTCTAATTAAATGATTTCATCACAGAAATAACCACTCTCAGGGCTAGCAATTACCCTTCCAGGTAGCATTTTGTTACAAACAAGTCATACCAAAAAAAAAAAAAAAATTAAAATAATGATGTTTTAGAAGAAGAAAAATAATCCAAGATGAAAATGCAGAAATAAAAGCTAAAAATTGAGAAAAGAACATTACTATTATTTGGAGAAATGCAAGCAAATGCTGACTTGTATAGCAGCAGTCCCCAACTCCCAGTTGACTGATACCAGTCTGTTGCCTATTAGGAACCTGGCTGCACAGCAGGAGGTGACCAGCGAGGCAAATTAGAGAAGCTTCATCTATATTTACAGCCGCTCCCCATCACTCGCATTACTGCGTGAGCTCCACCTCCTCTCAGATCAGCACCCTTATTAGATTCTCATGGGATCACAAACCCTATTGTGAACTGCACATACAAGGAATCTAGGTTGTGCACTCCTTATGAGAATCTAATGCCTGATGATCTGTTACTGTTTCTCATCAACCCCACATGGGACTGTTTAGTTGCAGGAAAACAAGCTCAGGGCTCCCACTGATTCTACATTATGGTGAGTTGTAAAATTATTTCATCATGTATTACAAAGTAAAAATAATAGAAATAAAGTGCACAAAAATGTAATATGCTTGAATTACCCCAAACCATCCCTGCAGGTCCATGGAAAATTTTCTTCCATGAAACTGGTCCTTGGTGCCAAAAATGTTGGGGACCGCTGCTGTATAGAACTTTAATAATAAGGTTTTATGTGGTTAAAAATATAAAAGTATAAAACATACCAGAAACATGTAATCCTACTAGAATAAGGTACATGAAAATACAATATCCTGAGTCACTCATATTACATGACTTCAGTCTTTGGCATAAAAAAAAAATAGGTCTAATACAGAAATACCTACAAATACGTAGCAACAAAAAAATTAATATACTATAAAATCTTAAAATTCTAAAATTATTACAAGAGATAAATCAATAATCAAAAGTGTGCAAAGACAATAATGAACAACTCTAGGCCCTGTGGCTTTACCTGACCTAAATAGATGAAGATGTATGACAAGTTACATGAAATAAAAGACTCAATTCTATAAATATCTCATTCTCCTTAGATTATTTATAGATTCACAGCATTTCCAGCCTCTGAAATAAAAGCGTAAGACAAGAGTAAATTTTTAAAAAAGCATTTCTAATCTAAATAACATTTTCTGGGTATATGAGTGAAAGTTGTTAAACTGGTTCTAAATTTACACAGAAATAAGCAAGGACAATTTTAATCAACACACCTTAAAGAACAAGATGAGAAATGTGGAGGATTCTCAATAACAGAATAAATCAGTAGAACAAACAAATGAACTATATTAAATTCATAAAAATCAAGACCATTAAAGCAAAAACAAAATACTATATTTTAATGTAAATAAACTACAGTTACAGAAAACAACAAGAAAAGATTAAAAACACATTGCTAGGTGAGAGAACAAAAAAGGACTTTTTTATTTTAAGTTTTGGGGTACATGTGTAGGGTGTGCAAGTTTTGTTACATAGGTAAATCTGTGCCATGGTGTTTTGCTGAACCTATCGACCCATCACCTAGGTATTAAGCCCAGCATGCATTAGATATTTTTTCTGTTGCTCTCTCTCCCCTCACCCACTCTGACAGACCCTATTGTGTGTTGTTCCCCACCCTGTGTCTATGTGTTCACATTGTTCAGCTCCCACTTATAAATGAGAAGATGTGGTGTTTGGTTTTCTGTTCCTGCATTAGTTTTCTGAGGATAATGGATTCCAGCTCTATCTGTGTCCCTGCAAAGGACATGATCTTGTTCCTTTTTATGGCTGCATAGTATTCCATGGTGTATATATACCACATTTTCTTTTTCTAGTCTATCATTGATGGGTATTTGGGTTGATCCCATGTCTTTGCTATTGTGATGAGTGCTGCATTGAACATATATGTGTATGTATCTTTCTAATAGAATGATTACATAGAAATAGAATGATTTTTATTCCTTTGTATACCCATACTGGGTTTACCCAGTAATGGGATGGCTGAGTCAAATGATATTTCTGATTTTAGGTATTTGAGGAATCACCACACTGTCTTCCACAATGGTTGAACTAATTTAAATTCCCACCAACAGTGTAATATTGTTCCTATTTCTCCACAGCTTCCCCAATATCTGTTGTTTCTTAACTTTTTAATAATCACCATTCACCATTCTTTTTTTTTTTTTTTTTTTTTTGGAGAGAGTTTCACTCTTGCTGCCCAGGCTGGAGTGCAATGGCACGACTTCGGCTCATGGCTCACCACAGCCTCTGCCTCCCGGGTTCAAGTGTTCTCCTGCCTCAGCCTCCCGAGTAGCTGGGATTTATAGGCATGCACCACCACACCCAGCTAATTTTGTATTTTTATTAGAGATGGGATTTCTCCATGTTGGTCAGGCTGGTCTTGAACTCCTGACCTCAGGTGATCCACCCACCTCAGCCTCCCAAAGTGCTGGGACTACAGGCTTGAGCCACTGCGCCTGGTCAATAACCCCCATTCTTAACTGGTGTGAGATGGTACCTCGTTGTGGTTTTGATTTACATTTCTCTAATGATCAGTGATGAGCTTTTTAAAAAATTTTTCTGTTGTTCACATAAATGTCTTGTTTTAGGAAGTGTCTGTTTATGTCCTTTGCCCACTTTTTATTGGGGTTGTTAGCTTTTCTTGTAAATTTAAGTTCCTTGTAGATTGTGGATATTAGATCTTTGCCACATGGATAGATTGCAAAAATTTTCTCCCATTCTGTAGGTTGTCTGTTCACTCTGATGATAGTTTCCTTTGATGTACAGAAGGTCTTTAGTTAAAATAGATCACATTTGTCAAGTTTTTGCTTTTGCTACAATTTCTATCGACATTTTCATCATGAAATCTTTGCCTATGCCTATGTCCTAAATGGTATTGCCTAGATTTTCTTCTAGGATTTTTATAGTTTTGAGTCTTACATGGAAGTCTTTAATCCACCTTGAGTTAATTTTTGTATAAGGTGTAAGGAAAGAGTATAGTTTCAATTTTCTGCATGTGGCTAGCCAGTTCTCCCAGCACCATTTATTAAATAGGGAATCCTTTCTCCATTGCTTGTTTTTGTCAGGTTTGTCAAAGATCAGATGGTTGAGATGTGTGGTCTTATTTATGAGTTCTCTATGCTGTTGTTCCATTGGTCTGTATGTCTGTTTTGTACCAATACCATGCTATTTTGGTTACTGTAGTCTTGTATTATAGTTTGAAGTCCAGTAGTGTGATGCCTTCAGCTTTGTTCTTTTTGCTTAGGATTGTCTTGGCTATTTGGGCTCTTTTTTAGTTCCATATGAATTTTTAAATAGATTTTCGAATTCTGTGAAGAATGTCAATAGTAGTTTAATGGGAATAGCATTGAATCTATAAATTAATTTGGGCAATATGGCCATTTTCACAATATTGATTATATCCTATACATGAGGATGGAATGTTTTTCCATTTGTTTGTGTCCTCCCTGATGTCCTTGGGCAGTGGTTTGTAGTTCCCCTTAAAGAGGTCCTTCATTTCCCTTGTTAGCTGTATTCCTAGGTATTTTATTCTTTTTGTAGCAATTGTGAATGGGAGTTAATTCATGATTTGGCTCCCTGCTTCTCTGTTGTTGGTATATAGGAATGCTTGCGATTTTTGCACATCGATTTTGTATTCTGAGACTTTGCTGAAGGTGCTTATCAGCTTACAAAGCTTTTGGGCTGAGATAATGGGGTTTTCTAAATATAAGATAATGTCATCTGCAAACAAAGACAATTTGGCTTCCACTCTTCCTATTTGAATATCCTTTCTTTCTTTCTCTTGCCTGATTGCCCTGGCCAGTACTTCTGATACTATGTTGAATAGGAGTGGTCAGAGAGGGCATCCTTGTGCCAGTTTTCAAACGGAATGGTTTTCAGCTTTTGCCCATTCAGTATGATATTGACTGTAGATTTGTAATATATACTCTTATTATTTTAAATATACTCTTATTATTTTAAGGTATGTTCCTTCAATACCTAGTCTATTGAGAGTTTTTAACATGAAGCTATGTTGAATTTTATTGAAGGCCTTTTGTATGTCTACTGAGATAATTGTGGTTTTGTCTTCAGTTCTGTTTATGTAATGAATTACATTTATTGACTTGCAAATATTGAAGCAGCCTTGCAACCTGGGGATGAAGCCAACTTGATTGTGGTGGATAAGCTTTTGGATGTGCTGCTGGATTCAGTTTGCCAGTATTTAATTGAGGATTTTTGCATCAATGTTCATCAGATATAGTGGCCTGAAGTTTTCTTTTTTTGTTGTATCTCTGCCAGATTTTGGCATCAGGATGATGCTGGCCTCATAATACGAGTTAGGGAGGAATCTCTCCTTTTAAATTGTTTGGAATAGTTTCAGAAGAAATGGTACTAGCTGCTCCTTGTACCTCTGGTAGAATTAATCTGTAAATCCTTCTAGTTCTGGGATTTTTTTGGTTGATTGGTAGGCTATTTATTACTGCCTCAATTTCAGAATTCATTATTGGTCTATTCAGGGATTCAGCTTCTTTCTGGTTCAGCCTCGGGAAGGTGTATATGTCAGGAATTTATCCATCACTTCTAGATTTTCAAATCTATTTGCAGAGAGGTGTTCATAGTATTCTCTGATGGTTGTTTGTGTATCAGGAGGTCAGTGGTGATATCCCCTTTACCATTTTTAATTGTCTATTTGATTCTTCTCTCTTTTCTTCTTTACTAGTCTAGCTAGTAGTCTATTTATTTTATTTTATTTTTTCAAAAAACAGCTCCTGGATGTGTTGATTTGTTTAAGGGTTTTTGATGTCTTTAATCTCCTTCAGTTCTGCTCTGACCTTGGTTATTTCTTGTCTTCTGCTAGCTTTGGGGATTTTTTTGCTCTTGGTTTTCTAGTTCGTGTAGTTGAGATGTTAGGATATTGATTTGTGATCTTTCTAGCTTTTTGATGTGGACATATACTGTTATAAATTTCCCTCTTAACACTCCTTTAGCTGTGTCCCAGAGATTCTGGCACATTGTCTCTTTGTCCTCCTTAGTTTCAAAGAACTTCTTGATTTCTGCCTTAATTTCATGATTTACCCAGGAGTCCTTCAGAAGCAGGTTGTTCAATTTCCATGTAGTTGTGTGGTTTTGAGTGAGTTTCTTAATCTTGAGTTCTAATTTTATTGTGCTGTGGTCTGAGAGACTGTTTGTTATGATTTAAATTCTTTTGCATTTGCTGAAGAGTGTATTACTTCCAATTATGTGATCAGTTTGGAGTAAGTGCCATGTGGCACCAATAAGAATTTATATCCTGCTGTTTTTGGGTGGACAGTTCTGCAGATATCTATCAGGTCCACTTGATCCAGAGCTGATATCAAGTCCTGAATATCTTTGTTAATTTTCTGTCTTGATAATCTATCTAATATTGACAGTGGGGTGTTAAAGTCTCCCAATATTATTATGTGGAAGTCTAAGTCTCTTTGTAGGTCTCTAAGAACTTGTTTTATGAATCTGGGTGCTCCTGTATTAGGTGCATATATATTTAGGATAGCTAGCTTTTCTTGTTGAATTGAACCCTTTGCCATTATGTAATGCCCTTCTTTGTCTTTTTTTTTATCTTAGTTGGTATAAAGTCTGTTGTCATAAACTTTGATTGCAACCTCTGCTTTTTTCTGCTTTCCATTTGCTTGGTAAATTTTCCTCCATCCCTTTATTTTGAGCCTGTATGTGTCTTTACACATGAGATGGGTCCCTAGCATACAGCATACCAATGGGTCTTGACTCGTTATCCAGCTGGCTGTCCTGTGTCTTTTTTTTTTTTTTTTTTTTTTTTTTTGAGATGGAGTCTCACTCTGTCACAAGGCTGGAGTGCAATGGCATAATCTTGGCTCACTGCAACCTCCACCTGCGGAGTTCAAGCAATTCCCCTGCCTCAGCCTCCCGAGTACCTGGGAGTATAGGCATGTGCCACCACACCCAGCTAATTTTATATATATATATATATATATATATATATATATATATATATATATATATATATATATATATATACATTTTAGTAGACATGGGGTTTCACCATATTGGCCAGAATGGTCTCGATCTCCTGACCTCATGATCCACCTGCCTCAGTCTCCCAAAGTGCTGATATTACAGGCGTGAACCACCTCGCCCAGCCCTGTTCTGTCTTTTAATTGGGACATTTTGTCCTTTTACATTTAAGGCTGATATTGTTGTGTGTGAATTTGATCCTGTCATCACGATGCTAGCTGGTAATTTTGCAGACTTGTTAATGTCGTTGCTTCATAGTGTCATTGGTCTGTGTACTTCAGTGTGTTTTTGTAGTGGCTGGTAAGTTTTTCCTTTCCATTTTTAGTGCTTCCTTCAGGAGCTCTTGCAAGGCAGGCCTGGTGGTAATGAATTCTCTCAACATTTGCTTCTCTGAAAAAAATTTATTTCTCCTTTGCTTGTGAAGTGTAGTTTTGCCAAATATGAAATTCTAGTTTGGAAATTATTTTCTTTAAGAATGTTGAATATTGGTCCCCAGTCTCTTCTGGATTGAAGGGTCTCTGCTGAGAGATCTGCTGTTAGTCTGATGGGCTTCCCTTTGAAGGTGACCTGGCCTTTCTCCCTAGCTGCCCTTAACATTTTTTTCCTTCATCTCGACTTTAGAGAATCTGATAATTATGTGTCTTAGTGTTGATCTTCTCATAGAGTATTTTGCTGGGGTTCTCTGAATTTCCTGAATTTGAATGTTTGCCTGTCTTGCTAGGTTGTAGAAGTTCTCCTGGATAATATCCTGAAGTATGTTTTCCAACTTGATTCCGTGCTCCCCATCTATTTTGGGTACATCCCATCAGTTGCAGCTTTGGTTTTTTTGCATAATCCCATAGTTATCAGAGGTTTTGTTCATTCATTTTTTTTCTTTTTTCTCTAATCTTGTCTGCCTGTCTTATATTTCAGCAAGATAGCTTCAAGCTCTGAGATTCCTTTCTCTGCTTGGGCTATTCAGCTATTGACACTTGTGGTTGCATTGTTACGCTCTTGTGTTGTGTTTTTCAGCTCCATCAGGTTATTTGTGCTGCTCTCTAAACTAGTTATTCTGGTTAACTGCTCCTATAAAGTTTTATCATGGTTCTTAGCTTCTTTGCATTGGGTAGAACATACACCTTTAGATCAGTGAAGTTCATTATTACCCACCTTCTGAAACCTACTTCTGTTGATTAATCCATCTCAGCCTCAGCTCAGTTCTATGCCCTTGCTAGAGAGGTGGTGCAATCATTTGGAGAAGAGGCACCCTGGCTTTTTGAGTTTTAACCATTTTTGCGCTGATTCTTTCTCATCTTTGTGAGCTTGTCTACCTTCGATCTTTGAAGCTGATGACATTTGGGTGGGGATTATATGGGGTCTTTTTTGTTACTTTCTGTTTATTTTTCTTTTAACAGTTAGGACCCTCTTCTGTAAGGATGCTGTGGTTTGCTGGGGGTCCACTCCAGACCCTATTTGCCTGGGTTTCTTAACAAAGTACTCTGGCTGCCCCTTGGTGGAGCATGTGTACTGCACTGTGGGGAATCCCACTCATCTGGACTGCCTGGCCTCTTCAGGGCCAACAGGCAGCAAAGACTAAGTTTGCTGAGTTGGGGCTGTGTCCCATGGAGATAAGAGTTCTATCCATAAACCCCTCACTGGAGTTGCTCCAGCCCCGCTCTGTGAGGGGGAATGGATCTAGGTCCCACCTAAGAAGCAGTCTGGCCATAATCGGCCACAGCCACTGTGCTGCACTCTGGGAAATCCCTCCCTATCCATACTGCCCTGTCTGCCCAGCACTGGCAGGGGAAAATGGCCAACTGGAGCCACAGCGATGGCAGCTGCTTCTCCTCCCAGGAACACAGTCATCTTAGACAGTCTCCAGTCTACTGCTACTGGCTGCAAACTGAGCAGCTGCCAAGTCTCACAGCTCTGCACTTGGGATCCATGGCCCTGGTGGCTTGGGCTCACAAGGGAATCTCCTGATCCAAGGGTTGCACAGATGTGTGGAGAAAGCATGGTTTCCCGGGCAGGGTGGCACAATCGCTCACTGCCTCTCTTGGCTGGTGGTGGTAGCTCCCCTTGCCCCATGTCACTCCCTGGTGGGCTTTCACTCTACCCTATTTTTCCTTGCCTTTTGTGGGTTGCTCCAAGTGCCTAGAACCTGGATACCTCAGCTGGAGGTACGGGATTCACTTGCCATTTTTGTTCTTCTCAATGGGAGCTGCCAGTGGCAGCTGCTTCTAGTCAGCTATCTTGGCCTCTTCCCCTGAAAAAAGACTTTCTGTATGTGTAATGTTCAATATCAGACAAAACTAAATTATAGTGTTTACAAATGTATACATAAAAATACAAAGACAAGTAAGAAAACAAATGTCATGGAAGTCAATATAGTGATGATTATAATAGAGAAATTTGTGATTGGGAAAAACGTGAGATGTAGGAAAGGACTATAAGTTACAGGTGATACTTTGTTATTCCTTGATCAGGGCAGTATTGAAACAGGTGTTCACATTATAATTGTTCATCAAGCAATGCATGGACATTTTATGTTCCTTTTTATGTGTATAAAACTTCATTTAAATAATGTGATCCAGGTTAATAATGTTTTCTTTTTATTATTCTTATTATTCTATTTAAGTATAATCCTTCTTGAATAAATTAATGTTTCACTACTGTTAGCATTATCATGTATTTTAACTATAATTTATTTATTTATTTTGAGATGCAGTTTCACTCTTGTTGCCCAGGATGGAGTGCAATGGTGTGGTCTTGGCTTAATGCAGCCTTCGCCTCCTGGGTTCAAGCGATTCTCCTGCCTCAGCCTCCCTAGTAGCTGGCATTACAGGCATGTGCCACCACGCCCAGCTAATTTTTTTTTTTTTTTTGTATTTTTAGTAGAGACAAGAGTTTCTCCATGTTGGTCAGGCTGGTTTCAAACTCCCAACCTCAGGTGATTCGCCGGCCTAGGCCTCCCAAAGTGCTAGGTGTGAGCCACCCTGCCCAGCTTACCTATAAAGAGAACATTACAGCATGAAATTCATAGAGAATCACTGCAGAGCACTAAGACCTCAATTTTTCAGTGGGTGTTTTGTGTGTAAAACAATACCCAAAGGCAAAAAGAAGCAGAATGTATTTTCAAGTAGTCATGAAGATAGTGACTTTGAAACATATGTCAGTAATATTTTGAGAACTGAGAAAAATACAGATGGTGACTACATATGTATAAAATTGATATTGTAAAAATGTTATGCATATGAAGATAAAATATACCCTAAATTTAAAAAAACCCTCCAAATCTAAATTAAAAGTTTGTATTTAAAGAGTAGTTTGAACAAATATTAATATAGTTATTCTTTTCTTAATATGATTAATCTCTTGTTTCTAATTCCAATAAAGGATATAATAAAAAAATCCCTCAAAGCTGAACACATGGATTTTTCTCAATTTAGAGATCATAGCACTTTCATATCTTAGTTCTAATGCTTTTTTTCAGTGAGCGTGATAGACATATTAAAATACATAGTAAATCATTTAAACATTACTTTAGCATCTATAACCACAACATTTACATAGACCACATGAAAACACACATATCATATCTTTCTCATTTTATAAATGATGAAGCCAATTCAGGTATATTAGCCAGTCACTGACTCTGATCTCAAAGGTAGCATGTGTAATCCTAGAACAGAAACTAAAGCTGACTGTTGTGTAACCTACACATGATTAAGAAGTAGTGCTTTGAAGTTAGCTCTAAGTATTTTCTAAAACCTAGTACGTTAACAAATAAAACAGATCTTTTTTCAGATAAACTATATTCTATATTCTACCCTAAATCGTGTATAACACCCAGGAAATAAATCACAAGTAGGGTCTGTTTCAATAGAAAGAAGAAAAAAGAGGAGGAACAGCTGTTTTTAAGCCACAGTCACTGGCTAAACAGGCATTGACGAAGACTGATGGACCTCAATCAATGAAGCAGGAGTGGAAGGCCATGATGAACCTAAAGAGGGTAACTAAACAGAGTAGAACTTTGGGGGAAAGAAGTGACAATAAGTGCTAAAATAGAAATACATTTTCCAATTTTCCAATTGGATATGTAGCAAAGAATTGCCCAAAGCCAAAATTCACTCCTGATTCCTTGACATGTTGTGAGAAAACTCCTCTGTAAGTCTACATAGTGTGAGGATGAGGGCTGGATTTGTAGTTTACCCAGGAACCCCAACAAATACTTTTTTAAATGAGGACTTCATTGTGTTTTTTAACAGAAGTAAGCTATCTTGTGAAGGAAATGTACCATTTCCATCCATGATTCTCGGGTACTTTTTTTCTGACTTTTATTAGCTCCCACATTTAGAGTAAAAGAAACTTTCAGTTCATTGAAACACTATCCTAAGTGTTTGTCCCTCATCATTCCTTAAACTGTCTTCTTCCAATATATTTCCAAACCATCATTTGCATTCTTTCTAAAATTATATCTATAACAGAAGTTAGTCAAGTTTTATCTCCTTAAAAAAGCTCAGTGTGTTCAACTGATTATGAGATAAAATTTATAATCCTTAACATCTCTATATTTTTCTGTTAGGATTTTATCTACCATTATATTTTCTCATTGTTTTGATCTGTAAATAAATTAATACAAGTGTATATTTTGCCACCCCTATACCAACCAAACCCAAATCCCTGACACAAGTTAGGTATGGTAAACCTCAAACGACTCAATGCACTCTCTTACATTTGCTTAAGTGCATATATGTTTGATTACCCTGTTAAACTTAAAGAAACAGACAGTACTCTTTGGACTTACTTATTGTTAGGGTATTCCAAAGAACTTTGGAAAATTGGCGATGATATGTTTGTTTGTTGTATAAATCACACTCTTGTTTCCTGTTCATTTAAATATTTGTTTCCTGGTGACCAACTTAAATATCCATTACATATTTTGGAAGAAGAAAAACAACTAAATCATTTGCTCAAGCTTATGTGAAAATGTTGCAAAATGAGAAAAATGTTGAAATGAATGTTAGTGAGAGAAGCATGATGCTTAATTTTATTATGTGACTGATAGAAAATAAGTCAACATTTAGTTTTCTTCCAATAATGTTCACTAAGGAAATTCTTCAGTAAACTTTAGATACATGTTACATTAATTACAGAGCAGGATGGTAGAGTAGAAAAATGGTGGTTGCAGTGTATCAGCTATTGTTTGATCAACTTATGTTTAGCAAAGTTTTGGTAAGGAGGAAGAGTTGGAGTCAATTTTTCAAGGGTCACAGTGAAATATTTTTAGTCTTTCAGGGACTTTTACATTCATTGCTCTTTACCAGAATTGACCTCTGCAAAAACATCATCATGCCTAATGTCAAGATTTCAAATTGTCATCTTTATCCAGGTTTCCAAATCAAAAGAGGTCCATGATTATAGGAAATCCTTGAGTTTCAGGTGGATCATCAGTTTCTGGTTGCTTTTGCTTTGCTTTGTTTTTTTTTCTTGTAAATTCATTCATTAGGTAGTGGCTATATAGAAGCACTTTGGCTCTGGATAAGATACAATGTAGAATTGTAATGTCAAGAAACACAAGAAGTAGATTATTAATAGGCCTTGATGTATTCTCTTTACCAACACTGACTTTTTTTAACCCTAGCCCGAAAAAACCTTCCATCTCAACTTCTCAATTTGCAAAGTGGCACAGTGGTCAGTTTCCAAGTTTACTTATCTTTCTGTTTTATCTTAGTAACAAGGATTAGCTTTTGTAAACAAAAACAATGGAAACAAGGAGAAATGTCTCAATTTTTGATAATTAAAAACCTATAATTATAATCTTTAGAAAATGACTAAAGATAACCATTTCAAAAGGATGAGAGGAAAGGACAGAAGAAAGAGAAAACAAAGGGTGAAATAACCAGTGGCTCCTGGCATTCAGCCTCTAGGTCTGGAAATCTTAGAAGTCTAAAAATCTGATATTTGATCCAAGTTTCTTGGAAACGCTGAATTCTTTATGACGCTGTCTGCTTCTAAAGAAGTATAAGAGTCTCAGTTTTACATCTCCAAGCATTTAGTACACTGAGGTCACGGGAGTGTGATGCTTTATGAATTTCAAAAGGTAAATACAGAAATCTGTGCTTTTAGACATAAATATGAAATTAGTAGTAACTAATATAGTCAATTCCAGTTAGGTTCAACAGCGTCTGTAGGTTGTTTCCAACATTGTCTCTGTGGTTTTCCTTTGGTAAAGTTGCCTGGATCTGTTGATTACAAACTTTTTGTTTTGTATATCGCAATAAACCTAAGATGACAATCAGTTACTGGAGGTGTAAATGTTAGCCTCACTGGCTAAGGGCTTATAGAATGATAACCTATGATTTCCAGTAAGTGAACTTCTGATAGCCAAGGCAGCAAAGGATAATATCTAGGTCATGACATTTAACCATTCAAATAATTTTCCAACCTTTATTTATCATTTTATTTTTCATTTTTGATTGAGTATGATGAATGTGATAGAGTTCCTTGATGCTGAGCAGTATCATGAACTGCTATTGGATTGAAATCTCTGTAAAATCGGTATTTCTATGTCTGGATAAAGATGTTGATAACTGGATAATGATGTTGATAACAGCCTAAGTTGAAAATACAAAGCCTAGAATGGTGATTGTTGTTTTTGTTTGTTTGTTTGATTTTATTTTCTCTTTGTTAATGTAGTTGCCATTTAGCAGAGAAAAACTTTTGGCCATCCATAAAATGGACAATAGTAAAAATATATTCATATCCATTTCAAGGAGGAAATTGGATGAACTCCATTTCTAAATACTCAAATAGACTTTAAGGCTTTGGTTTCTGCCTATACCTACCTTTGCAGTTTTGCTTGAATTATAATTTTTACAGATGGAACACGTGCCAGAAACATCTCAGTGGTTTTGAGTAAAACTGTCCTACTAATTATAATTGTTTTAAAATTTCAGCTGATTTATTTTTGCTATGATGATCAAAATTAATAGTTATGTTAAGAAATAATGTTAGTTATGTTAGTTATATTATGTTAATATTTTAATAAATTATGTTACAGTTATTTCAATAAATCATCTTAATTAATGATATTACATTATTATAATCACTGATTATTGTGGGAGGAAAATATTTTATAAACAGAATGACATGAACAAGTTTCTGTAACAATTGGATTCATATTAGAAAACAAATTCTGCTTTGTCACTTATTTTGCCTTGTAGTCAAATATTTTAAAATTTATAAACAACAATTTTACAGAGAGTCATTGTGCCAGACTTTCTGCTTGTACATGAGTGTATTTTAATCTTAGGGGTTCAATATATCTTTTGTGGGAACATAATTTAATCCATAACAGTCCACTCTCTGGCCCCACAAAATTCATGTCCTTCCTGCATGCAAAATATGTTCACCCCATCTTGACATCCCCAAAAGTTTTAACCCACTCCAGTGTCAACTCTAAGTCCAAATCTCATCTATGTATAATCAGCTAAAAAAGTCCCAAATCTTATCATCGAATCATCTAAATCAGTTATGGGTGAGACTTTGGTTATGGTTTATCCTGCAGCAACACTCTTTTTAATCTGTGGGTCTGTGTAACCAGAAAACAAGTAATATGCTTACACAATGCAATGGTGGCAAAGTCATAGGATAGACCTTCCCATTTTATAATTGAAAAATAGGAGAAAACGGGGTCTTAGGTCCCAAGCAAGTCCAAAAACCAGTAGGGCAAATTTCATTAAATTCCAATTCTTCAGACTAAGCCTCTGTGGCCCAATGCTTTGTCCTCTTGGCCCTCTTGGGCCATCTGAGAGGCAACTGTAGCCTTCTGCCCAAGGATGTTCTATCAGTTCAGGCCTCTGCATCCATGGCCCTGCCATCAGAATCATTCTTCATTAATTTCATCCCATCTCTATCACTCTCAGTCCAAATGATAGGGACAGGAGCCAGATAAATTTTAGGCAGAAAAGGGATGAATCCTTGGTAAAAACCCCACCCTCAAGCTGAAAAGCCTGAAACTGCAGCCCAAAGTGAGAACTTATATCCTTGTTTTCCTGCTTGAATGTTGCCTTTTACTAAACCATTCATGGGCCTGTCCCACCTCATCCTGTGTCTATAAAGACCCCAGACTCAGCCAGCAGAGAAGAAAAGCAACTGGATGTAGGGACTATGGCTGGATGTTGGAGAGAGGTGGCTTGACTTCAGAGGGACAGCTTGACAGCATAACTTTGGAGAAGAATCCAGCTAGAGAAGCCTGGGCTTCAGGGGAAGATTACCTTTCTGCCCCATCCCCTTTTCAGCTTCCCTTCCAGCTGAGAATCACTTTCATTGGCAATAAAATCTCCCACATTTACTATTCTTCAATTTGTTTGGGCAACCTCATTTTTCCTGGATATTAGACAAGATCTTGGCAGCCATGAGCATGGATGCAAAGGGCCTACTGAGATGTTAACACTTAAACCGTTCGTGGATGGCAGAGCTGAAGGAGCACTGTAACACACCCTCCAGGGCTTTGGGAGTCACAGGCATGCTGCCTGAACAGGGCCTGCATGGAGTTTGCTCTTGCCAGTGCCCAAAAGTGGTCGCTCAGGCTCCTGCACCCACTCACCTGCTTGCTCCCTCCCGCAAGGGGTGGAATGCAGCAGTCTGAGTGAGTAGAGTTTGATCCCACAGGCACCAAAATGGGCAGCCAGTTCCAGTGTTCATGCACTCCAGTTCCCACCCCATTTGCTTGTGTGCTTTCTCCCGTGAGGGGTTGAGAGCGGCAGGCTGAGTAAACAAGGCAATGCTGTTGTGAGTCCTGCAAAGGGGTCAGGCAAATACTCTGCTTCACCAGCTGGCAATGTTTCCACCGGTATAATTCTTAAAGAACCTTTTCAGTCTCCTGAGTAATTCACAGGAATCTAAACATTAAACAAGATGATCTACATATCCTTTCTGGAAAATCACATCTCTTTTCCTGTATCTTGCTGAGTGATTTGGTTGGATACATGAGTAATTGTACTAATCAGAGTTCTACAGAGGGACAGAAATAATAGGATATATGTATATATGAAAGGGAGTTTATTGAGGAGAATTGATTCACACAATCACAAGGTAAAGTCCCATGATAGGCCCTCTGCAAGCCAAGGAGCAAGGAAGCCAGTAGT
The DNA here is from genome assembly GCF_000001405.40 of Homo sapiens. NCBI lineage: Eukaryota > Metazoa > Chordata > Mammalia > Primates > Hominidae > Homo > Homo sapiens. The sequence goes on along the minus strand of NC_000013.11, from coordinate 84,686,769 downwards.
GGCTCAGTCCAAGTCCCAAAGTTTCAAAAGTAGGGAAGCCGACAGTGCAGCCTTCAGTTTGTGGCCAAAGGCCTGAGAACCCCTGGAAAACCACTGGTGTAAGTCCAAGAGTCCAAAGGCTGAAGAACTTGGAGTCTGATGTTTGAGGGCAAAAAGCATCCAGCACAGGAGAAAGAAGGAGGCTGGGAGACTCAGTAAGCCAGCTTATTCTACTTTCTTCCACCTGCTTCTTCTAGCCAGGCTGGCAGCAAATTGGATGGTGCTCACCCACATTGAGAGTGGGTCTTCCTCTCCCAGTTCACTGATTCAAAATGTTAATATCCTCTGGCAACACCCGGAAAGACACACCCAGAAACCATACTTTGCATCCTTCCATCCAATCAAGTTGAGACTTAATGTTACCCATCACAGTAAAGTACTCAATTTCTTCAGCACATGGTTGTCTAGACAGACTCCTGGTTCATGCTATCAGGATAGGATGAGAATTTTCCAAGTCATCAAGTGCTGTTTCCTTTTTGTTTAACAGTTTATTCTTCAACTTGTATATTCCTCTTGTATTTTGCTATAAGCAGCAAAAAGAAACCAGACCATATCTTCCACACTTTGCTCAGATATATCATCACTAGATATTAAAGTTTATCACTTACAAATTGTACTTTCCTCAAAATAGCACAAAATAATTCAGCGAAGTCATCTGTCACTTTATAAAAAGAATTGCCTTTTCTTCAGTTTCTAATATCATGTTCCTCATTTTCATCTCAGACTTTACCAGAAGTAGCCTTACTGTTCCTACTTATGGTACTATTTTCTAACATGATAGGAAATTTCTATGTAGTTCTCCTAACTTATCTCTGATTTATCACTAGAATGTTCTTTAATAAGCATTATTTCTACCAACAATCTCTTCAAGTGAGTCTATGCATATTTTTTTTAAATCAAGAGCCTCAAAACTCTTTCAGCCTTTACCCATTACCCAATTCCAGAGCCATTGTCACATTATTTAAAAATTTCTTGCAGCAATACCCCAATCCCATCACCAAAATCTATTCATGTCCTGGGGCTATCATAGCACACATGCTGCTTAAACCAATAAAAATGTATTCTCTTACAGTTCCTGAGGATAGAAGTGTGAAATCGAATTGGCAATTACCCACCACCTCCCTATAAGGGAGGATCCCTCTGTGTCTCATCTGGCTTCTGGTGGTCCCAGGTGTTCCTAGGTTCCTGGCAGTTTAACTCCAAAATCTACCTCTGTTCACATAGTCATCTTGCCTCTCCATCTGTGTCCAAATATCTTTCTTCTTATTAGGACACAAATCATATTAGACTAAGGACCCACTTCACTACAATACAACTTCATCTGAACTTAATTTCACCTGAACTTAACTGAATTTATGTCTGCAACGACCCTATTCCTATATAAGTTCACAATCTGAGATACCTGAAATTAGGAATGTAAGAGGTCTTTTTGTAGGACACAATTTAACACACAACAATCTGCTTTTATTCTGGGGCTCTGGAATTTTGATAACCATTCATGTATGTGCAGACAAAGAATCCCTATGTAACCAGTTCCTCCAAAACAAACAAACAGAAAACCACCTTGACTTGAGTTTCAAGTGAGTCCCCCTCGGCAGAAGCACTGGGAACATGTTGTTGCGTTTCACTGCTGGGAAATGGAAAGCATTTTGCGTGAGTCCACTCCCTCATTCCGAAAGGGTGAGTTTTGGAAGTCTGCACCTGGATTTCTCCAGACTCCATCTGATGTGCCTTTTCCTTTGATGACCCTACTGTGTATCATTTTACTGTTATAAGCCATACCCATGACCACAACTCTCTCTGCATCGAGAATGCCTTTCTACCAAATCACTGAGAATGTGGGTGGCCATGCAACCCCTACAATATATACGGGCTTAGCTAGGGGCCAAAATCCTGTGTGATCTTTCAGGCCAGACCACAGGCAATGGCAAAGGCTTTACCTGTCAGTCCCTGTGGGAGAGAGCTGTCTTCCCAACACCAGACTTGCAGTCTCAAAGGGATAAGCAGCCAAATATATCACTTTCTCTTTTCCCCCTCCCCACTGTCCCACTCTACTCCCACCTCTACTGGCCATGTTCATACATATATTTTCATCCCTAGCCCAGGATTCTGCCCTTGCATGTCTCATCTGGGGCCCCATTTGAGAATCTCCTATGGCAAGAGGAGTAGAAAACTATCGTGACCAGGAGCTTGTTCTCTGCTTTGACTGAGTTTGCTCCTACCTTGTACCCATTCCCTCTCCCTGTCCCCACAGGTCTCCATAAGATGGCAGGAGCTTCTTGTTCACTGCTGCTTAGTGAGATGTTTTCCCACCTTCATCAAATGTTACCTGACTGACTCTAGCCTGATATCTTTCCGTTGGAAAAAATAAAACATTAGAGGACAGCACTTTTCTTTTTCTTTGCCTTTTGCCTGCATTATTGCAGTATTTGAATAATGACTTGATTGTTATTTTCAGTTTGACTTTTGTCCTAATTGGCCACCTTGAGAGTTGGCAGCTTGACAACTACCTTAGAGTACTCTCGCTGTCAGGCTCTGTCTTGCTAGCAGGGAAGAAAGGATTTCACTTTGTTCCTCTGTAAAAAGATAGAAATATGCTACAAAACAAAGTTTAAGAGAGAAACTGGACCCTTCCACAGATTCTCAATCTTTTAAATTAAAAATCTTTCTCCCAATTCTCCATGCAACAGCTCTCCCTCTGTGTTTTATTTAACTGTTTGCTTCAACTACCATAACCTTTGTTTAATATTTTATCAAAATTAAACACATTCTAAAAGGCTGTATATTAAATTCTGCACCATTCAATATGCTTTCTTGGTCCTCTAGTTAATGTTAACTACATTTACTTTTTTTCTTAATAAGAGTGCTCTCAATGTATTTTTTAGAAGTTTTTTTTAATATAATCATTTTTGTTTCCATTCATGTATAATGTAGGTATGTGTGTGTGTGTGTGCATACATGCTTGAGAACAAGATATTACAAATAATAAACACAAGAGGACATATAGAGACATTTTTATATGTAAGTATATATATACATACATACACTTTTTCACAGGCCCCTCTCAGGGCAAACCCATTCCAGGACTCTCTGCCCTTTGCAAAGAAAAAAAAACTCTTCCCAAGGCTCTCAGAGGCTTCTCTAGGTCAGTTGTGTTACTGCAAGATTCATATTTTTAAATAATTAAGATTTATGTGTTGGAGGAAAGAAAATACAAGATTGAATACCTCAAGTAAGAATGGGAAATAATCAAATATTGCATGCCAGATCTGAAAAATAACTACATTCAAATTCTAGAACTGAAAAGTACGATTATTACAATTTAAAACTCAATGAGTAGATGAAACACCTGATTAGATAGGTAATGAGAAATTGGCGAATTGAAGAACAGGTGAGAAGGAATAAAAGATAAAGTTGAAAAAACACCTAAATTACATTTAAATTAGAATAAAAAGAGAATGGGTCTGTGGTCTTATTTAAACAGATAACTACTGATAATTTTTTTAAAAATTATGAACTACATAAATTACACATATTCAAAATCCCCTCAAAACCTCAGGAAAATTAAAATGTAAAACTGAATTTACATATATTATAAAACAAAACAAAGAGTGATTTATAAACTAGCCAGCAAGATGGGAGAAGGGGTATAGTTTACGTTCAAAGAAGAAACAATCACATTTTATAATTGAGAATGAAAGTTGAATTTTATACAAAACTTTTGGAAGCTGAAGGTGATTGAATGATATATTCACAGTAATAGAACGCCAAGAGAAGGTGGTGAGGATATTCTGCCCAAGTACAGGCAATGACTGTGTTCACTGTCTGTAATGAATTTAAAGCTATCACAAAACTGAATAAAAGCCAATCTGCTTTTTGTTATCACCATACACTGGAAATTCTAAAAATTGTCAATGATAAAACATACCTTCCTGCCTGAGTTAACTATTTTCACTCTCCCCACAGTTACATAGATCTGATGAATAATAGGTGTCAATTTAAAATTCTATGCTCTGTAAAAGTACTCCTTAAGAAAGAAAGTCTATCGTTTGCAGTGGCTCATGCCTGTAATCCCAACACTTTGGGAGCATGAGATGGATGAATTTCTTGAAGCCAGGAGTTTGACACTTGCCTTGACAACACAGTGAAGGCTCATCTCTAAAAAATATGAAAAAGTACCCAAGGGTCATTGCATGTGCCTGTAGTTCTAGCTACTTGGGAAACTGAGGTGGGAGGATTGCTTGAGGCCAGGAGCTCATGGCTGCAGTGAGCCCTGACTGTACCACTGCACTCCAGCCTGGAAAACAGAGTGAAATACAATCTCTAAGAAGAAAAAAAAAAAAGACAGCAGGAGAGAATGTAGGTGAGCCCCATGAACCACTAGGCATTTTTGGATATTGACCTTATTTCCTGTGAAATTGCTAACCTCACTTAATTCTGGTAGTTTTTTGATAAATTCTATAACCTTTTCTGCAAAATAGGACAGTTTTTCTTTTCTCATAATGCCTTTCATTTATTTTCTTTGTCTTACTGCCCTTGCTAATATTGCTTCCATAAAATGTTGAAGAGAAATGACATACTGAAATCCTTGATTATACCCTGATCTTAGGTGGAAAATATTCAGTACTGTACTACTAAATAGAGTGTTAGTTGTAAGAGTTTCACAGTTGCTTTTTATCTATTTGAGGAAGATTCCTTCCAAGAATCCCTATCAAAAAACAAAACAAAAATCTGACAATATCAAATATTGGCAAGGATGTAGTAGTTGCACATATATTGATGAAGAGTAAATTGATATAGCCCTTTTGGGAAATTGTTTGGAATCATTTGGTGACATTGAAAACAAGAAAGCCAGGTGTGGTGGCATGGGTATGCAGCCCTAACTAATCAAGAGGCTGAGTAGGAGGATCACCTGAGCCCAGGAGGTAGACGTGCAGTGACCTGTGATCATGACTGCACTCCAGTCTGGGTGATAGAGTGAGACTACATCTCTAAAAAAAAAAATGAAAATGAAACAATTTCCAAATCAAATTGTATCCACATATGTACTAAAAGATATATATGACAATATTGATAGCAACATTATTTGTAAAAGACCCAAACCTGAAAACTAAAATATTGGTCCAAAGTTGTTAATTAAGGTATGTTTCCTCAATAGAGTAATGTACAGAAATTAAAATGGCATAACTAGAGCTACAGTCATCAACATAAGTGAATCCTACAAATCTTACAAACATAATGTTGAACAAATGAAACAAAACCTCAAAGTCTACAATTAATATGATTAATTTGTGTAAAATTCCCTCTAAGAACAGGCACAAGATAAGGATGCCCACTTTTACTACTCTTATTCAACCTATAAGAGTACTGGAAGTCCTTGCCAGAACAATCAGGTAAGAGGACAAAATGAAAGGCTTCAAAATTGGAAAACAGGAATTCAGTTATTCTTGTTTACTGATGATAAGATCTTATACCTAGAAAACTCCAAAGACTCGACTGAAAAAAAAATCTTAGATTTGATAAATGAATTCAGGAAAGTCTTAGGACACAAAATTAATGTACAGAAATTAGGATTTTTGTATATATACAAATAGTGATCTTGCTGAGTACCAAATCAAGAAGAAAATCCCATGAACAATGCTACAAAAAAAAAAACACAATAAAAACACTAGAAATATACTTAACCATGGAGGTGAAAAATCTTTATAAGGAGAACTACAAAACAAGATGAAAGGAATTGCAGATGACACAAGCAAATAAGAGAACATCTCGAGATGTTCATGGATGGGAAGAATCACTATCATTAAAATCATGATACTACAGATTCAGTGGAATTTCTACCAAATTACCAATGCCATTTTTCACAGAATTAGAAAAAAAAATCCTAAAATTCATATGGAACCAAAAAGGATCCTAAAAGTCAAAGCAATCCTAAGCAAAATCAAAAAAGCTGAAGGCTTCACATCGCCTGACTTCAAATTATACTACAAGACTATAGTAGCCAAAAACAACATGGTACTGGTATAAAGATAGACACAAAGATCAACAGAACAGAATAGAGAACCTAGAAATAAAGCCACATACCAATAGCCAACTGATCATTGACAAAGTCAACAAAACATGCATACTGTGGAAAGAACAATTAAATAAACGGTGCTGGAAAAATTGGATAGACACATGCAGAAGACTAAAACTGCAGCTACACCTCTCTCAATATATAAAAATTAACACAAGATGGATTAAAAACCTAAATAAAAAACATGAAACTATAAAAATTTCAGGAAACACTCTTCTGGATATTTGCCTATGCAAGGAATTTGTGACCAAGTCTTTAAAAGCAAATGCCAGTAAAAACAAAAATAGACAAATGGAAGTAGAAAACTAAAATGCTTCTCCACAGCAAAAGAAACAAGAGTGTAAATAGATAACCTACATAATGGCAAAAAACAATCTGCAAACTATGCATCCAACAAAGGACTAATATCTACAATCTATAAGGAACACAAACAACTTAACAACAACCACAAAATAGCCCCATTAAAAAGTGTGAAAAGGACAACAGCCAAGTGGCCAAGAAACATATGAAAAATACTCAATATCACTAATCTCAGAAAAATGCAAATTACAAACACAAAGCGATACCACCTTACACCCGTCAGAATGGCTATTACTAAAAAGTCAAAACACAACAGTTGTTGGCAAGGATTCAGAGAAATGGGAACACATATGCACTGTTGGTGAGAATGTGAATTAATACAACCTTATGGAAAACAGTATGGAGATTTCTCAAACAACTAAACATTGAAGTATCCTTAGATTCAGCAATACCACTACTGGGTATATACCCAAAGGGAAGGAAATCATTCTATCACAAAGATACCTGTACTTGTATGTTTATTACCATACTATTCACAATAGCAAAGATACTGAATCAATCTAAGCATCCATCAGTGGAAGATTAGAAAAAGAAAATGTGATATATATATACCATACACACATAACATGGAATACTTCTCAGCCATAAAAATGAATGAAATTATGTCTGTTGCAGCAACATCGGTGGATCTGGAGGCCATTATCCTAAGTGAAACACCGCGGAAGCAGAGTCAAATACCGATCGTCCTCATTTATAAGTGGGAGCTAAACAGTGAGTACAAAGAGACATACGGAGTGCAATAACAGACATTGGAGACTGCAAAAGGTGGGAGCTTGGAAGAGGCATGAGGATTGAAAAGTTTCCTATTGGGTATAGTGTTCACTATTCAGGTGATGGGTACACTAAAAGCTCAGATTTCACTATTATGCAATTGCATGTAAGAAATCTGCCCTTGTATCCCCTAAATATATATTTAAAAATTTTTTAAATTTAAAATTCATATAAAAGCAACACTACTCTGTGGACTAATCCATCAGAAATCATAGTAGTTGCGCATAACTTTAAGCATGCAGGCAGATTTTGGCATGCTGGATATGTTCCATTTTCTCAATTGTTTAATGATGTCTGCCCCTAAAATTTGCAAAGCTCTCTGCATGTGATTATGTTTTAATTACATAGAGAGAGAGAGAGAATTGTGCAAATAATGGTGTGTTGTATTAAAATTTGGGCCTATAAACCAAGTTTTCACTCAAAAATGTATTTATTTCCGTCCTCCACCTTCCATCTCCTGCAATTGGATCAACAATATTAATTGCTTTCAGAACATGAAGTAAAGTCCAAAATGTATTCAAATAGAACAGAATGATTGGTTTTGTGTTCCAAATTAGATTCTTACGCTGAAAGCAGGGACAATAACCTTGAAATGAAAGGCTTTTCATTTTCAAGAGTCTGCTGCTTTAAAGAGCCAAAGATTAGGCTTTGAAGGAAGCCAAGCTTAATATGTTTGCCATAAGGAAGTGATGGGAACAGGGACAGAGAAGAACTGCACTACCTGCCCCAAGACCTTAGATAAGACAACCCAGTGTGTTTGCCTTTGATGGGGTTAAGCTCATTGAAACACATAAACAAATCCGCCATTTGAGAATGGCAAAGCAGCTTAAGTGTAGAAATGTTGTTACGCATAGGTCTCAGCTTAAAGACTAAGAACCTTCCTTTACTAAGTCTCTTAGGATCCACGTAAGAAAGAAATATGGAGAAAATTTCAGTTTGAATTATCCCTCAGCTCCATCTATATGTAAAGAATTGTCTGATAAAATGCAAGCAGATCAGAAAAATACACACTACTAGAGTACTAGAAATAATCTAAATTAACTAGGTGACTAGAAGATTGGTAAATCTAAGGACCTCTCATCAGATGCAACAAATGTAGAAACTTGCATTGAATAGCAATACAAGATGAAGTATGTTTTTGAAAATGTTTACGGGTAAATAGGGCAAATAATTTCCTACTATCTATTACCTACCAAAAACTGGATGCTACATAAGACACTCTGTTACCTGGAACTGAGAAGCCACATGGAAGATAATTTATGAAAGCTATATAGAACCTTGGATGCATTGGGATACAACAGTATATGATTGAAAAAATTAGTGAATTCATGAATATTTTTTCAAGTGATTAAATTATGTCACTGGGTTCTGTAGACCAGGGACATGAGATAATGTTTTAAGTTTATTTTTAGAAAAATAGATTATATTTACATTCACTTCAGTATTAACTATAAAATTTGACCTGACTCAGAGCTAAATAATACGTATTTGTTAAATTAATCATACATAGTCAGTGTATTCTATAGCTTGAAAAGTCAAAATACCTTGTGATTCATATCGTCCACAGATTTTAAAAAGAAACTAAGGCTAGATTCTTATCCTACCATGGTCTATACTTTTCATACAGCTAATATCAAATGTTCTCTCCAATTTCCAATTTTTAGTGTCACTTCAGTCTTTAGACAAATCAGCAATCCAACATGTATTTTTGTTCCACTGAGTTTTAGGCAACAACTCATTGTGTGAAATTAATCTTGATTTTTAAATTTTGTACACATTTCAATGGTTGACATTTAACTTACCTGAGCATATAATTTTAGAAAAGTACTGCATGTTTGAACCCATTTAAACCATCCAACATAGGTCCCTACAGATTCACTATTTATCTCTCAAATGCAGCCTGAGAAAGGGGAAAGTAGGGAGCTTGTATACGAAGTTGTCCACTACCCACATCAAACTACCAACTAAGATATCTTCAGGTAATGCCATGCTTTGTGGTATATTGATATCTGCAAATAATGTAGAGGAAGATAGGATAAGCATTATGCTTTGGCACTTATAACACAAATTTGTGGCTACTTGATATTTTGATACTTTTAAGGTTGGTCTTGGAAAATCATAATACTTTGAATTAGGTACTATCTCTCTATGATAAAGAAAATTTCAAATGCAAATTTCTGAGTGGTTTTAGTTATACAATCACCTAAAAAATAAGTAACCAGTAATAAAGACATAAAAAGTAGCTAGTTGACTGAGGTATATATAGTCAAGGTTGATGCATACACGAGTAACTAACTGAAACAAAATATTTTATATAAAACTAATATATATCAATTCGGAAAATATAAAAGACAATGAAGTGGAAAATATAATTAATTGAAATGTAAAAAGCTTCAAGCATAAATGTAGATTCCTAAACAAGCTAACAAACAGGAAGAATAAAAAGTAATTTTTGATCTTTAAATGGTAGTTTATTGACATCAAGCAAAAAAGAATGGATATTTACAAATCAGAAACCACCAACATATACTAATAAGAGAAATGACGGCATTTATGGCTTTCTGCAACCACATTTTAATATAAACAATGACATAATGTACAGCATAGTAGAGTAGATAAGTTCTTATTTAGCCATTATTCTCTAAAAATATTTTTAAAATTTCATGCTTCTTGTAATGAAAGTTATGTGCATGCAACTGGCCATGTGGTGTCAGCTTTTTAGCTGACACCACAAAGTGGGAAGATAAAACAACAAAATGTTTTCAGCATTTTTTCTAATAAAAAATAATTTTGTAAAAAATAATTTATTAAAATGACTCACTGTACAACATAGAATAAAAAGTATCCTGTAAAATAGTTAATATATTAAGCAAAATATTAATAATTATACCCAATGAAAGAGCAATAATAGCAGTGAATTTTGGGGAAAAAAGTCTACAATACAATTTTTCAAATGAAAATAAAAATGTATTTTCAAGAGGAAAGTAATAAGCTTTGATATTATTAAATAAGAAGGATAAAGTAACTAAGTTAACTTTTAAAGCATTAAAACAAACCATATGTAAAGACAGCAATGATTTACAAATGGATGAATAAGGTTCTCTCTTTATCTGAGGATGCCGATATGTCTAGTTTTTAGCTATTAGCCAAAGTGAGGAGAACAGGATCTATGAATGCGCTATTTAAGTTTGAAATATCATCTGGTGACCAGCCTCACCATTCATGGTTTGGTACTGGCCTAACTGGTTTCATAAGCCTAGAATTATTATATGGTTAAGGGACTTAAAGACTTTGCTGAGAGCTTTCATACCCTTTTTTTTCTTTCCAGTGCTTGCCTGGACTCTAGTTCTCTTGTCCCAAAACTCAACTTTGTCTTTAAATAAAATCCTCAAGGGAGAATGTTTTATGGAGTCAAATGTGTCCTTTACCCAAACTGAGTAAATCTTTGAGCTTATAAAAACAAATAATAAACTAACACAAAGTGGGAAGATAAAACAACAAAATACCTTGATCATGTCAAAGAAAGCAACATAGAAAACGTAAAATAGAATCAGAAAAAGAGCAACAGAGAATGCAACTAGTCAGAAAGTAGAAATTTCTTCAAATACATGAGTAATTATTATAAATGTGAATGTAAATATGTGGACACACAACAAGATCTAAGTAAATTTTGTATTCTTGTTTTGCATGTCTTTTTTTAAACATTATTTAAAAAGTTTTCCCAATTCTTAAATTTCCTCTGAAATAGTTATCATTTTATAATAAAAATATGATATTTCTAAATGAAAGAAAAAATTATTCACATTATATTTTTCTTATAGTTACTGACAGAACGTTGGCCTAGTAAGGATGATACTGCAACCTGTTTTCTCAACTCACAGCTTCATCCTCTGTGATTATAGATGCTGAAAAACATAAATCTGACATTTCAGTTAGTATTCTGACTCACGGAAAAAGGAAACTAATGTCAAAAAACTGGGCCAACTGTAACTAAGAAAGGGAAATATGACAAAGACTATCTTTCTCTCAGCTTTATGTGATGTTAACAATTTGCCTTATTGTGTCTTATACCATAGAACATTTTTGAATGGTGTTACATGTCAGTTAAAATGTAGCATCCTTTTGAAAGCAGTCACTCGAAGTTTAAAGAAAAAAAAGATTTGAATATTTTAAAAGTAAACATGAGTTCTTTTAAAGTTGAAAGTCTTTTTTGACATCTTTCAAACTAGAAATGAAAAAATCATGGAATCTCATACAGGGTAAATTGTATTTCATTGGTTGGGTAACTGTATATGATAGTTGAGAAATTGATAAAGGCTTGAAACTTTGCCATTGGTGAGTGTCTGCCAAATGAAAAGTTAATAAAAGAAATCATGTCAACGTGGTTTCAATGATACTGTAAATCTTCAAATTAAATATCTAACTGAAAACAACAAATACTGAGTTCAGGATTGTATTCTTGACTTACAAATAGATGAATACAACATGGAGCTACACTTGCTGTTTTCGTGTATTGGTCCAGAATAAGCACAAATTAATTATCATAGAAGATAATTTATACAAATGCTTAGCAATAAACGTGAGTAGTGCTAAAATATGCCGGGTGCCAAATAATCCTTCTGCGTGATACTGTTTACCCTGGAATAATTGTACTGACATTTGCACTGTTGGTGCAAAACAATAGTGGTTAAAACTCCTGGTGCCTTAGCACAAATCAAGATGGAGAGACCTAACTATACCGATAGTAACATTCCCTTCATCGTTAAGCAATGACAGTTTAAAAAGTCAGTATCAAGCAAGTATTGAAATTAGAGAAACTAGTATCCATCTGAAGTGCTTTACAACATTTCATTACTTCAAGCTTTTCTGATGAGATATGTGGCAATATTAACAAATGCAATTTATTGTTTTTATTATTTCAATATTGGATAATAAAATGTGTCATGAACAA